>NC_000014.9:17004448-17304448 GCF_000001405.40 Homo sapiens
CAAATCTAGACAGAGAAGCATTCTCAGAAACGTCTTTGTGATGTTTGCATTCAACTCATAGAGTTGAACATTCCCTTTCAGAGAGCAGCTTTGAAACACTCTTTTTGTAGTATGTGCAAGTGGATATTTGGAGCGCTCTGAGGCCTACGGTGAAAAAGCAAATATCTTCCCATAACCACTAGACAGAAACATTCTCAGAAACTCCTTTATGACGTATGCACTCACCTAACAGAGAAGAACCTTCCTTTTGACTGAGCAGTTTTGATACACTCTTTTTGTAGAATCTGCAAGTGGATATTTGGATAGCTGTGAAGATTTCGTTGGAAACGGGAATATCTTCTTATAAAATCTAGACAGAAGCATTCTCAGGGAACTGCTCTGCGATGTCTGTATTCAAGTCACAGAGTTGAACATTGCCTTTCATAGAGCAGGTTTGAAACGCTCTTTTTGTAGTATATGGAAGTGGACGTTTCGGACGGTTTGAGGCCCATGGTGATAAAGGGAATATCTTCCCCTACAAGCTAGAAAGAAGCATTCTGTGAAACTTGTTTTTGATGTGTGTACTCAACTAACAGAGTTGAACCTTTCTTTTTACAGAGCAGTTTTGAAACACTCTTTTTGTAGAATCTGCGAGGGGATATTTGGATAGATTTCAGGATTTCGTTGGAAACGGGAATATCTTCATATAAAATCTCGACAGAAGCATTCTCAGAAACTTCTTTGTGATATGTGCATTCAAGTCACAGGTTTGAATATTCCCTTTCACAGAGTAGGTTTGAAACACTCTTTTTGTAGTATCTGGAAGTGGATATTTGGAGCGCCTTGACGCCTAAGGTGAAAAGGGAAATATCTTCCCATAAAAACTAGACAGAAGCAATCTCAGAATCTTCTTTGGGATATATGCACGCAGCTAACAGAGTTGAACCGTTCTATTGACAGAGCAGTTTTGAAACAGTCTTTCTGTGGAATCTGCAAGTGGATATTTGGATAGCTTGGAGGATTTCGTTGGAAACGGGATTACATATAAAAAGTAGACAGCAGCATCCTCAGAAACTTCTTTGTGATGTGTGCATTCAAGTCACAGAGTTGAACATTCCCTTTCGTACAGCAGTTTTGAAACACTCTTTCTGTAGTATCTGGAAGTGAACATTAGGACAGCTTTCAGGTCTATGGTGAGAAAGGATATATCTTCAAATAAAAACTAGACAGAAGCATTCTCATAAACTTGTTTGTGATGTGTGAACTCTGCTAACAGAGGTGGATCTTTCTTTTGATAGAGCAGTTCTGAAAAACACTTTTTGTTGAATCTGCAAGTGGACATTTGGATAGATTTGAAGATTTCGTTGGAAACGGGAATATCTTCATATCAAATTTTGACAGAAGCATTCTCAGAAACGTCTTTGTGATGTTTGCATTCAACTCATAGAGTTGAACATTCCCTTTCACAGAGCAGCTTTGAAACACTCTTTTTGTAGTATGTGCAAGTGGATATTTGGAGCGCTCTGAGGCCTACGGTGAAAAAGCAAATATCTTCCCATAACCACTAGACAGAAACATTCTCAGAAACTCCTGTATGACGTGTGCACTCACCTAACAGAGAAGAACCTTCCTTTTGACAGAGCAGTTTTGATACACTCTTTTTGTAGAATCTGCAAGTGGATATTTGGATAGCTGTGAAGATTTCGTTGGAAACGGGAATATCTTCCTATAAAATCTAGACAGAAGCATTCTCAGAAACTACTCTGTGATGTCTGCATTCAAGTCACAGAGTTGAACATTGCCTTTCCTAGAGCAGGTTTGAAACGCTCTTTTTGTAGTATATGGAAGTGGACGTTTCGGACGGTTTGAGGCCCATGGTGATAAAGGGAATATCTTCCCCTACAAGCTAGAAAGAAGCATTCTGTGAAACTTGTTTGTGATGTGTGTACTCAACTAACAGAGTTGAACCTTTCTTTTTACAGAGCAGTTTTGAAACACTCTTTTTGTAGAATCTGCGAGGGGATATTTGGATAGATTTCAGGATTTCGTTGGAAACGGGAATATCTTCATGTAAAATCTCGACAGAAGCATTCTCAGAAACTTCTTTGTGATATCTGCATTCAAGTCACAGAGTTGAATATTCCCTTTCACAGAGTAGGTTTGAAACACTCTTTTTGTAGTATCTGGAAGTGGACATTTGGAGCGCCTTGACACCTACGGTGAAAAGGGAAATATGCTTCCCATAAAAACTAGACAGAAGCAATCTCAGAATCTTCTTTGGGATATATGCACGCAACTAACAGAGTTGAACCTTTCTATTGACAGAGCAGTTTTGAAACAGTCTTTCTGTGGAATCTGCAAGTGGATATTTGGATAGCTTGGAGGATTTCTTTGGAAATGGGATTACGTATAAAAAGTAGACAGCAGCATCCTCAGAAACTTCTTTGTGATGTGTGCATTCAAGTCACAGAGTTGAACATTCCCTTTCGTACAGCAGTTTTGAAACACTCTTTCTGTAGTATCTGGAAGTGAACATTAGGACAGCTTTCAGGTCTATGGTGAGAAGGGAAATATCTTCAAATAAAAACTAGACAGAAGCATTCTCATAAACTTGTTTGTGATGTGTTAACACAGCTAACAGAGGTGGATCTTTCTTTTGATAGAGCAGTTCTGAAAAACACTTTTTGTTGAATCTGCAAGTGGACATTTGGATAGATTTGAAGATTTCTTTGGAAACGGGAATATCTTCATATCAAATCTAGACAGAAGCATTCCCAGAAACGTCTTTGTGATGTTTGCATTCAACTCATAGAGTTGAACATTCCCTTTCAGAGAGCAGCTTTGAAGCACTCTTTTTGTAGGATGTGCAAGGGGATATTTGGAGTGCTCTGAGGCCTAAGGTGAAAAAGCAAATATCTTCCCATAACCACTAGACAGAAACATTGTCAGAAACTCCTTTATGACGTATGCACTCACCTAACAGAGAAGAACCTTCCTTTTGACAGAGCAGTTTTGATACACTCTTTTTGTAGAATCTGCAAGTGGATATTTGGATAGCTGCGAAGATTTCGTTGGAAACGGGAATATCTTCCTATAAAATCTAGACAGAAGCATTCTCAGAAACTGCTCTGTGATGTCTGCATTCAAGTCACAGAGTTGAACATTGCTTTTCCTACAGCAGGTTTGAAACGCTCTTTTTGTAGTATATGGAAGTGGACGTTTCGGACGGTTTGAGGCCCATGGTGATAAAGGGAATATCTTTCCCTACAAGCTAGAAAGAAGCATTCTGTGAAACTTGTTTGTGATGTGTGTACTCAACTAACAGGGTTGAACCTTTCCTTTTACAGAGCAGTTTTGCAACACTCTTTTTGTAGAATCTGCGAGGGGATATTTGGATAGATTTCAGGATTTCGTTGGAAACGGGAATATCTTCATATAAAATCTCGACAGAAGCATTCTCAGAAACTTCTTTGTGATATGTGCATTCAAGTCACAGAGTTGAATATTCCCTTTCACAGAGTAGGTTTGAAACACTCTTTTTGTAGTATCTGGAAGTGGACATTTGGAGCGCCTTGACGCCTACGGTGAAAAGGGAAATATCTTCTCATGAAAACTAGACAGAAGCAATCTCAGAATCTTCTTTGGGATATATGCACGCAGCTAACAGAGTTGAACCTTTCTATTGACAGAGCAGTTTTGAAACAGTCTTTCTGTGGAATTTGCAAGTGGATATTTGGATAGCTTGGAGGATTTCGTTGGAAACGGGATTAAGTATAAAAAGTAGACAGCAGCATCCTCAGAAACTTCTTTGTGATGTGTGCATTCAAGTCACAGAGTTGAACATTCCCTTTCGTACAGCAGTTTTGAAACACTCTTTCTGTAGTACCTGGAAGTGAACATTAGGACAGCTTTCAGGACTATGGTGAGAAAGGAAATATCTTCAAATAAAAACTAGACAGAAGCATTCTCATAAACTTGTTCGTAATGTGTGTACTCAGCTAACACACGTGGATCTTTCTTTTGATAGAGCAGTTCTGAAAAACACTTTTTGTTGAATCTGCAAGTGGACATTTGGATAGATTTGAAGATTTCGTTGGAAACGGGAATATCTTCATATCAAATCTAGACAGAAGCATTCTCAGAAACGTCTTTGCGATGTTTGCATTCAACTCATAGAGTTGAACATTCCGTTTCAGAGAGCAGCTTTGAGGCACTCTTTTTGTAATATGTGCAAGTGGATATTTGGAGCGCTCTGAGGCCTACGGTGAAAAAGCAAATATCTTCCCATAACCACTAGACAGAAGCATTCTCAGAAACTCCTTTATGGCGTATGTACTCAACTAAAAGAGAAGAACCTTCCTTTTGACAGAGCATTTTTGATACACTCTTTTTGTGGAATCTGCAAGTGGATATTTGGATAGCTGTGAAGATTTCGTTGGAAACGGGAATATCTTCCTATAAAATCTAGACAGAAGCATTCTCAGAAACTGCTCTGTGAAGTCTACATTCAAGTCACAGAGTTGAACATTGCCTTTCATAGAGCAGGTTTGAAACGCTCTTTTTGTAGTATATGGAAGTGGACGTTTCGGACGGTTTGAGGCCCATGGTGATAAAGGGAATAACTTCCCCTACAAGCTAGAAAGAAGCATTCTGTGAAACTTGTTTGTGATGTGTGTACTCAACTAACAGAGTTGAACCTTTCTTTTTACAGAGCAGTTTTGAAACACTCTTTTTGTAGAATCTGCGAGGGGATATTTGGATAGATTTCAGGATTTTGTTGGAAACGGGAATATCTTCATATAAAATCTCGACAGAAGCATTCTCAGAAACTTCATTGTGATATCTGCATTTAAGTCACAGAGTTGAATATTCGCTTTCACAGAGTAGGTTTGAAACACTCTTTTTGTAGTATCTGGAAGTGGACATTTGGAGCGCCTTGACACCTACGGTGAAAAGGGAAATATCTTCCCATAAAAACTAGACAGAAGCAATCTCAGAATCTTCTTTGGGATATAAGCACGCAGCTAACAGAGTTGAACCTTTCTATTGACAGAGCAGTTTTGAAACAGTCTTTCTGTGGAATCTGCAAGTGGATATTTGGATAGCTTGGAGGATTTCGTTGGAAACGGGATTACGCATAAAAAGTAGACAGCAGCATCCTCAGAAACTTCGTTGTGATGTGTGCATTCAAGTCACAGAGTTGAACATTCCCTTTCGTACAGCAGTTTTGAAACACTCTTTCTGTAGCATCTGGAAGTGAACATTAGGACAGCTTTCAGGTCTATGGTGAGAAAGGAAATATCTTCAAATAAAAACTAGACAGAAGCATTCTCATAAACTTGTTCGTGATGTGTGAACTCAGATAAGAGCCGTGGATCTTTCTTTTGATAGAGCAGTTCTGAAAAACACTTTTTGTTGAATCTGCAAGTGGACATTTGGATAGATTTGAAGATTTCTTTGGAAACGGGAATATCTTCATATCAAATCTAGACAGAAGCATTCTCGGACACGTCTTTGTGATGTTTGCATTCAACTCATAGAGTTGAACATTCCGTTTCAGAGAGCAGCTTTGAGGCACTCATTTTGTAGTATGTGAAAGTGGATATTTGGAGCGCTCTGAGGCCTTCGGTGAAAAAGCAAATATCTTCCCATAACCACTAGAGAGAAGCATTCTCAGAAACTCCTTTATGACGTATGCACTCACCTAACAGAAAAGAACCTTCCTTTTGACAGAGCAGTTTTGATACACTCTTTTTGTAGAATCTGCAAGTGGATATTTGGATAGCTGTGAAGATTTCGTTGGAAACGGGAATATCTTCCTATAAAATCTATACAGAAGCATTCTCAGAAACTGCTCTGTGATGTCTGCATTCAAGTCACAGAGTTGAACATTGCCTTTCATAGAGCAGGTTTGAAACGCTCTTTTTGTAGTATATGGAAGTGGACTTTTCGGACGGTTTGAGGCCCATGTTGATAAAGGGAATATCTTCCCCTACAAGCTAGAAAGAAGCATTCTGTGAAACTTGTTTGTGATGTGTGTACTCAACTAACAGAGTTGAACCTTTCTTTTCACAGAGCAGTTTTGAAACACTCTTTTTGTAGAATCTGCGAGGGGAAATTTGGATAGATTTCAGGATTTCATTGGAAACGGGAATATCTTCATACAAAATCTCGACAGAAGCATTCCCAGAAACTTCTTTGTGATATCTGCATTCAAGTCACAGAGTTGAATATTCCCTTTCACAGAGTAGGTTTGAAACACTCTTTTTGTAGTATCTGGATGTGTACATTTGGAGCGCCTTGACACCTACGGTGAAAAGGGAAATATCTTCCCATAAAAACTAGACAGAAGTAATCTCAGAATCTTCTTTGGGATATATGCACGGAGCTAACAGAGTTGAACCTTTCTATTGACATAGCAGTTTTGAAACAGTCTTTCTGTGGAATCTGCAAGTGGATATTTGGATAGCTTGGAGGATTTCGTTGGAAACGGGATTACGTATAAAAATTAGACAGCAGCATCCTCAGAAACTTCTTTGTGATGTGTGCATTCAAGTCACAGAGTTGAACATCACCTTTCGTACAGCAGTTTTGAAACACTCATTCGGTAGTATCTGGAAGTGAACATTAGGATAGCTTTCAGGTCTATGGTGAGAAAGGAAATATCTTCAAATAAAAACTAGACAGAAGCTTTCTCATAAACTTGTTTGTGATGTCTGAACTCAGCTAACAGAGGTGGATCTTTCTTTTGATAGAGCAGTTCTGAAAAACACTTTTTGTTGAATCTGCAAGTGGACATTTGGATAGATTTGAAGATTTCGTTGGAAACGGGAATATCTTCATATCAAATCTAGACAGAAGCATTCGCGGAAACGTCTTTGTGATGTTTGCATTCAACTCATAGAGTTGAACATTCCCTTTCAGAGAGCAGCTTTGAAGCACTCTTTTTGTAGTATGTGCAAGGGGATATTTGGAGCGCTCTGAGGCCTACGGTGAAAAAGCAAATATCTTCCCATAACCACTAGACAGAAACATTCTCAGAAACTCCTTTATGACGTATGCACTCACGTAACAGAAAAGAACCTTCCTTTTGACAGAGCAGTTTTGATACACTCTTTTTGTAGAATCTGCAAGTGGATATTTGGATAGCTGTGAAGATTTCGTTGGAAACGGGAATATCTTCCTATAAAATCTAGACAGAAGCATTCTCAGAAACTGCTCTGTGATGTCTGCATTCAAGTCACAGAGTTGAACATTGCCTTTCATGGAGCAGGTTTGAAACGCTCTTTTTGTAGTATATGGAAGTGGACGTTTCGGACGGTTTGAGGCCCATGGTGATAAAGGGAATATCTTCCCCTACAAGCTAGAAGGAAGCATTCTGTGAAACTTGTTTGTGAGGTGTGTACTCAACTAACAGAGTTGAACCTTTCTTTTTACAGAGCAGTTTTGAAACACTCTTTTTGTAGAATCTGCGAGGGGATATTTGGATAGATTTCAGGATTTCTTTGGAAACGGGAATATCTTCATATAAAATCTCGACAGAAGCATTCTCAGAAACTTCTTTGTGATATCTGCCTTCAAGTCACAGAGTTGAATATTCCCTTTCACAGAGTAGGTTTGAAACACTCTTTTTGTAGTATCTGGAAGTGGACATTTGGAGCGCCTTGACACCTACGGTGAAAAGGGAAATATCTTCCCATAAAAACTAGACAGAAGCAATCTCAGAATCTTCTTTGGGATATATGCACGCAGCTAACAGAGTTGAACCTTTCTATTGACAGAGCAGTTTTGAAACAGTCTTTCTGTGGAATCTGCAAGTGGATATTTGGATAGCTTGGAGGATTTCGTTGGAAAAGGGATTACGTTTAAAAAGTAGACAGCAGCATCCTCAGAAACTTCTTTGTGATGTGTGCATTCAAGTCACAGAGTTGAACATTCCCTTTCGTACAGCAGTTTTGAAACACTCTTTCTGTAGTATCTGGAAGTGAACACTAAGACAGCTTTCAGATCTATGGTGAGAAAGGAAATATCTTCAAATAAAAACTAGACAGAAGCATTCTCATAAACTTGTTTGTGATGTGTGAACTCAGCTAACAGAGCTGGATCTTTCTTTTGATAGAGCAGTTCTGAAAAACACTTTTTGTTGAATCTGCAAGTGGACATTTGGATAGATTTGAAGATTTCTTTGGAAACGGGAATATCTTCATATCAAATCTAGACAGAAGCATTCTCAGAAACGTCTTTGCGATGTTTGCATTCAACTCATAGAGTTGAACATTCCGTTTCAGAGAGGAGCTTTGAGGCACTCTTTTTGTAGTATGTGCAAGTGGATATTTGGAGCGCTCTGAGGCCTACGGTGAAAAAGCAAATATCTTCCCATAACCACTAGACAGAAACATTCTCAGAAACTCCTTTATGACGTATGCACTCACCTAACAGAGAAGAACCTTCCTTTTGACAGAGCAGTTTTGATACACTCTTTTTGTAGAATCTGCAAGTGGATATTTGGATAGCTGTGAAGATTTGGTTGGAAACGGGAATATCTTCCTATAAAATCTAGACAGAAGCATTCTCAGAAACTGCTCTGTGATGTCTGCATTCAAGTCACAGAGTTGAACACTGCCTTTCCTAGAGCAGGTTTGAAACGCTCTTTTTGTATTATATGGAAGTGGACGTTTCGGACGGTTTGAGGCCCATGGTGATAAAGGGAATATCTTCCCCTACAAGCTAGAAAGAAGCATTCTGTGAAACTTGTTTGTGATGTGTGTACTCAACTAACAGAGTTGAACCTTTCTTTCCACAGAGCAGTTTTGAAACACTCTTTTTGTAGAATCTGCGAGGGGATATTTGGATAGATTTCAGCATTTCGTTGGAAACGGGAATATCTTCATATAAAATCTCGACAGAAGCATTCTCAGAAACTTCCTTGTGATATGTGCATTCAAGTCACAGAGTTGAATATTCCCTTTCACAGAGTAGGTTTGAAACACTCTTTTTGTAGTATCTGGAAGTAGACATTTGGAGCGCCTTGACGCCTACGGTGAAAAGGGAAATATCTTCCCATAAAAACTAGACAGAAGCAATCTCAGAATCTTCTTTGGGATATATGCACGCAGCTAACAGAGTTAAACCTTTCTATTGACAGAGCAGTTTTGAAACAGTCTTTCTGTGGAATCTGCAAGTGGATATTTGGATAGCTTGGAGGATTTCGTTGGAAACGGGATTACGCATAAAAAGTAGACAGCAGCATCCTCAGAAACTTCTTTGTGATGTGTGCATTCAAGTCACAGAGTTGAACATTCCCTTTCTTACAGCAGTTTTGAAACACTCTTTCTGTAGTATCTGGAAGTGAACATTAGGACAGCTTTCAGCTCTATGGTGAGAAAGGAAATATCTTCAAATAAAAACTAGACAGAAGCATTCTCATAAACTTGTTTGTGATGTGTGAACTCAGCTAACAGAGGTGCATCTTTCTTTTGATAGAGCAGTTCTGAAAAACACTTTTTGTTGAATCTGCAAGTGGACATTTGGATAGATTTGAACATTTCGTTGGAAACGGGAATATCTTCATATCAAATCTAGACAGAAGCATTCGCGGAAACGTCTTTGTCATGTTTGCATTCAACTCATAGAGTTGAACATTCCGTTTCAGAGAGCAGCTTTGAAGCACTCTTTTTGTCGTATGTGCAAGTGGATATTTGGAGCGCTCTGAGGCCTACGGTGAAAAAGCAAATATCTTCCCATAACCACTAGACAGAAACATTCTCAGAAACTCCTTTATGACGTATGCACTCACCTAACAGAGAAGAACCTTCCTTTTGACAGAGCAGTTTTGATACACTCTTTTTGTAGAATCTGCAAGTGGATATTTGGATAGCTGTGAAGATTTCGTTGGAAACGGGAATATCTTCCTAAAAAATCTAGACAGAAGCATTCTCAGAAACTGCTCTGTGATGTCTGCATTCAAGTCACAGAGTTGAACATTGCCTTTCATAGAGCAGGTTTGAAACGCTCTTTTTGTAGTATATGGAAGTGGAAGTTTCGGACGGTTGGAGGCCCATGGTGATAAAGGGAATATCTTCCCGTACAAGCTAGAAAGAAGCATTCTGTGAAACTTGTTTGTGATGTGTGTACTCAACTAACAGAGTTGAACCTTTCTTTTTACAGAGCAGTTTTGAAACACTCTTTTTGTAGAATCTGCGAGGGGATATTTGGATAGATTTCAGGATTTCGTTGGAAACGGGAATATCTTCATATAAATCTCGACAGAAGCATTCTCAGAAACTTCTTTGTGATATGTGCATTCAAGTCACAGAGTTGAATATTCCCTTTCACAGAGTAGGTTTGAAACACTCTTTTGTAGTATCTGGAAGTGGACATTTGGAGCGCCTTGACACCTACGGTGAAAAGGGAAATATCTTCCCATAAAAACTAGACAGAAGCAATCTCAGAATCTTCTTTGGGATATATGCACGCAGCTAACAGAGTTGAACCTTTCTATTGACAGAGCAGTTTTGAAACAGTCTTTCTGTGGAATCTGCAAGTGGATATTTGGATAGCTTAGAGGATTTCGTTGGAAACGGGATTACGTATAAAAAGTAGACAGCAGCATCCTCAGAAACTTCTTTGTGATGTGTGCATTCAAGTCACAGAGTTGAACATTCCCTTTCGTACAGCAGTTTTGAAACACTCTTTCTGTAGTATCTGAAGTGAACAATAGGACAGCTTTCAGGTCTATGATGAGAAAGTAAATATCTTCAAATAAAAACTAGACAGAAGCATTCTCATAAACTTGTTTGTGATGTGTGAACTCAGCTAACACACGTGGATCTTTCTTTTGATACAGCAGTTTTGAAAAACACTTTTTGTTGAATCTGCAAGTGGACATTTGGATAGATATGAAGATTTCGTTGGAAACGGGAATATCTTCATATCAAATCTAGACAGAAGCATTCTCAGAAACGTCTTTGTGATGTTTGCATTCAACTCATAGAGTTCAACATTCCGTTTCAGAGAGCAGCTTTGAAGCACTCTTTTTGTAGTATGTGCAAGGGGATATATGGAGCGCTCTGAGGCCTAAGGTGAAAAAGCAAATATCTTCCCATAACCACTAGACAGAAACATTCTCAGAAACTCCGTTATGACGTATGCACTCACCTAACAGAGAAGAACCTTCCTTTTGACTGAGCAGTTTTGATACACTCTTTTTGCAGAATCTGCAAGTGGATATTTGGATAGCTGTGAAGATTTCGTTGGAAACGGGAATATCTTCCTATAAAATCTAGACAGAAGCATTCTCAGAAACTGCTCTGTGATGTCTGCATTCAAGTCACAGAGTTGAACATTGCCTTTCATAGAGCAGGTTTGAAACTCTCTTTTTGTAGTATATGGAAGTAGACGTTTCGGACGGTTTGAGGCCCATGGTGATAAAGGGAATATCTTCCCCTACAAGCTAGAAAGAAGCATTCTGTGAAACTTGTTTGTGAAGTGTGTACTCAACTAACAGAGTTGAACCTTTCTTTTTACAGAGCAGTTTTGAAACACTCTTTTGTAGAATCTGCGAGGGGATATTTGGATAGATTTCAGGATTTCGTTGGAAACGGGAATATCTTCATATAAAATCTCGACAGAAGCATTCTCAGAAACTTCTTTGTGATATCTGCCTTCAAGTCACAGAGTTGAATATTCCCTTTCACAGAGTAGGTTTGAAACACTCTTTTTGTAGTATCTGGAAGTGGACATTTGGAGCGCCTTGACGCCTACGGTGAAAAGGGAAATATCTTCCCATGAAAACTAGACAGAAGCAATCTCAGTAATCTTCTTTGGGATATATGCACGCAGCTAAAAGAGTTGAACCTTTCTATTGACAGAGCAGTTTTGAAACAGTCTTTCTGTGGAATCTGCAAGTGGATATTTGGATAGCTTGGAGGATTTCGTTGGAAACGGGATTACGTATAAAAAGTAGACAGCAGCATCCTCAGAAACTTCTTTGTGATGTGTGCATTAAAGTCACAGAGTTGAACATTCCCTTTCGTACAGCAGTTTTGAAACACTCTTTCTGTAGTATCTGGAAGTGAACATTAGGACAGCTTTCAGCTCTATGGTGAGAAAGGAAATATCTTCAAATAAAAACTAGACAGAAGCATTCTCATAAACTTGTTCGTGATGTGTGAACTCAGCTAACACACGTGGATGTTTCTTTTGATAGAGCAGTTCTGAAAAACACTTTTTGTTGAATCTGCAAGAGGACATTTGGATAGATTTGAAGATTTCGTTGGAAACGGGAATATCTTCATATCAAATCTAGACAGAAGCATTCTCAGAAACGTCTTTTGTCATGTTTGCATTCAACTCATAGAGTTGAACATTCCCTTTCAGAGAGCAGCTTTGAAGCACTCTTTTTGTAGTATGTGCAAGGGGATATATGGAGCGCTCTGAGGCCTAAGGTGAAAAAGCAAATATCTTCCCATAACCACTAGACAGAAACATTCTCAGAAACTTCTTTATGACGTATGTACTCAACTAGCAGAGAAGAACATTCAATTTGACAGAGCATTTTTGATACACTCTTTTTGTAGTATCTGCAAGTGGATATTTGGATAGCTGTAAAGATTTCGTTGGAAACGGGAATGTCTTCCTATAAAGTCTAGGCAGAAGCATTCTCAGAAACTGCTCTGTGATGTCTGCATTCAAGTCACAGAGTTGAACATTGCCTTTCATAGAGCAGGTTTGAAACGCTCTTTTTGTAGTATATGGAAGTGCACGTTTCGGACGGTTTGAGGCCCATGGTGATAAAGGAAATATCTTCCCCTACAAGCTAGAAAGAAGCATTCTGTGAAACTTGTTTGTGATGTGTGTACTCAACTAACAGAGTTGAACCTTTCTTTTCACAGAGCAGTTTTGAAACACTCTTTTTGTAGAATCTGCGAGCGGATATTTGGATAGATTTCAGGATTTCGTTGGAAACGGGAATATCTTCATATAAAATCGCGACAGAAGCATTCTCAGAAACTTCTTTGTGATATGTGCATTCAAGTCACAGAGTTGAATATTCCCTTTCACAGAGTAGGTTTGAAACACTCTTTTTGTAGTATCTGGAAGAGGACATTTGGAGCGCCTTGACGCCTACGTTGAAAAGGGAAATATCTTCCCATAAAAACTAGACAGAAGCAATCTCAGAATCTTCTTTGGGATATATGCACGCAGCTAACAGAGTTGAACCTTTCTATTGACAGAGCAGTATTGAAACAGTCTTTCTGTGGAATCTGCAAGTGGATATTTGGATAGCTTGGAGGATTTCGTTGGAAACGGGATTAAGTATAAAAAGTAGACAGCAGCATCCTCAGAAACTTCTTTGTGATGTGTGCATTCAAGTCACCGAGTTGAACATTCCCTTTCGTACAGCAGTTTTGAAACACTCTTTCTGTAGTAACTGGAAGTGAACATTAGGACAGCTTTCAGGTCTATGGTGAGAAAGGAAATATCTTCAAATAAAAACTAGACAGAAGCATTCTCATAAACTTGTTTGTGATGTGTGAACTCAGCTAACAGACGTGGATCTTTCTTTTGATACAGCAGTTTTGAAAAACACTTTTTGTTGAATCTGCAAGTGGACATTTGGATAGATTTGAAGATTTCGTTGGAAACGGGAATATGTTCATATCAAATCTAGACAGAAGCATTCTCAGAAACGTCTTTGTCATGTTTGCATTCAACTCATAGAGTTGAACATTCCCTTTCAGAGAGCAGCTTTGAAAGACTCTTTTTGTAGTATGTGCAAGTGGATATTTGGAGCGCTCTGAGGCCTACGGTGAAAAAGCAAATATCTTCCCATAACCACTAGACAGAAACATTCTCAGAAACTTCTTTATGACGTATGTACTCAAGTAGCAGAGAAGAACTTTCCTTTTGACAGAGCACTTTGGATACACACTTTTTGTAGTATCTGCAAGTGGATATTTGGATAGCTGTGAAGATTTCGTTGGAAACGGGAATATCTTCCTATAAAGTCTGGACAAAAGCATTCTCAGAAACTGCTCTGTGATGTCTGCATTCAAGTCACAGAGTTGAACATTGCCTTTCATAGAGCAGGTTTGAAACGCTCTTTTTGTAGTATATGGAAGTGGACGTTTCGGACGGTTTGAGGCCCATGGTGATAAAGGGAATATCGTCCCCTACCAGCTAGAAAGAAGCATTCTGTGAAACTCGTTTGTGATGTGTGTACTCAACTAACAGAGTTGAACCTTTCTTTTCACAGAGCAGTTTTGAAACACTCTTTTTGTAGAATCTGCGAGGGGAAATTTGGATAGATTTCAGGATTTCGTTGGAAACGGGAATATCTTCATACAAAATCTCGACAGAAGCATTCTCAGAAACTTCATTGTGATATGTGCATTCAAGTCACAGGAGTTGAATATTCCCTTTTACAGAGTAGGTTTGAAACACTCTTTTTGTAGTATCTGGAAGTGGACATTTGGAGCGCTTTGACGCCTACGGTGAAAAGGGAAATATCTTCTCATAAAAACTAGACAGAAGCAATCTCAGAATCTTCTTTGGGATATATGCACGCAGCTAACAGAGTTGAACCTTTCTATTGACAGAGCAGTTTTGAAACAGTCTTTCTGTGGAATCTGCAAGTGGATATTTGGATAGATTGGAGGATTTCGTTGGAAACGGGATTACGTATAAAAAGTAGACAGCAGCATCCTCAGAAACTTCTTTGTGATGTGTGCATTCAAGTCACAGAGTTGAACATTCCCTTTCGTACAGCAGTTTTGAAACACTCTTTCTGTAGTATCTGGAAGTGAACATTAGGACAGCTTTCAGGGCTATGGTCAGAAAGGAAATATCTTCAAATAAAAACTAGACAGAAGCATTCTGATAAACTTGTTTGTGAAGTGTGATCTCAGCTAACAGAGGTGGATCTTTCTTTTGATAGAGCAGTTCTGAAAAACACTTTTTGTTGAATCTGCAAGTGGACATTTGGATAGATTTGAAGATTTCGTTGGAAACGGGAATATCTTCATATCAAATCTAGACAGAAGCATTCTCAGAAACGTCTTTGTGATGTTTGCATTCAACTCATAGAGTTGAACATTCCGTTTCAGAGAACAGCTTTGAAGCACTCTTTTTGTAGTATGTGCAAGTGGATATTTGGAGCGCTCTGAGGCCTACGGGGAAAAAGCAAATATCTTCCCATAACCACTAGACAGAAACATTCTCAGAAACTCCTTTATGACGTATGCACTCACCTAACAGAGAAGAACCTTCCTTTTGACAGAGCAGATTTGATACACTCTTTTTGTAGAATCTGCAAGTGGATATTTGGATAGCTGTGAAGATTTCGTTGGAAACGGGAATATCTTCCTATAAAATCTAGACAGAAGCATTCTCAGAAACTGCTCTGTGATGTCTGCATTCAAGTCACAGAGTTGAACATTGCCTTTCATAGAGCAGGTTTGAAACGCTCTTTTTGTAGTATATGGAAGTGGATGTTTCGGTCGGTTGGAGGCCCATGGTGATAAAGGGAATATCTTCCCCTACAAGCTAGAAAGAAGCATTCTGTGAAACTTGTTTGTGATGTGTGTACTCAACTAACAGAGTTGAACCTTTCTTTTCACAGAGCAGTTTTGAAACACTCTTTTTGTAGAATCTGCGAGGGGATATTTGGATAGATTTCAGGATTTCGTTGGAAACGGGAATATCTTCATACAAAATCTCGACAGAAGCATTCTCAGAAACTTCTTTGTGATATCTGCATTCAAGTCACAGAGTTGAATATTCCCTTCCACAGAGTAGGTTTGAAAGACTCTTTTTGTAGTATCTGGAAGTGGACATTTGGAGCGCCTTGACGCCTACGGTGAAAAGGGAAATATCTTCCCATAAAAACTAGACAGAAGCAATCTCAGAATCTTCTTTGGGATATATGCACGCAGCTAACAGAGTTGAACCTTTCTATTGACAGAGCAGTTTTGAAACAGTCTTTCTGTGGAATCTGCAAGTGGATATTTGGATAACTTGGAGGATTTCGTTGGAAACGGGATTACGTATAAAAAGTAGACAGCAGCATCCTCAGAAACTTCTTTGTGATGTGTGCACTGAAGTCACAGAGTTGAACATTCCCTTTCGTACAGCAGTTTTGAAACACTCTTTCTGTAGTATCTGGAAGTGAACATTAGGACAGCTTTCAGGTCTATGGTGAGAAAGGAAATATCTTCAAATAAAAACTAGACAGAAGCATTCTCATAAACTTGTTTGTGAAGTGTGAACTCAGCTAACACAGGTGGATCTTTCTTTTGATACAGCAGTTTTGAAAAACACTTTGTTGAATCTGCAAGTGGACATTTGGATAGATTTGAAGATTTCGTTGGAAACGGGTATATCTTCATAACAAATCTAGACAGAAGCATTCTCAGAAACGTCTTTGTGATGTTTGCATTGAACTCATAGAGTTGAACATTCCCTTTCAGAGAGCAGCTTTGAAGCACTCTTTTTGTAGTATGTTCAAGTGGACATTTGGAGCGCTTTGAGGCCTACAGGGAAAAAGCAAATATCTTCCCATAACAACTAGACAGAAACATTCTCAGAAACTCCTTTATGACGTATGCACTCACCTAACAGAGAAGAACCTTCCTTTTGACAGAGCAGTTTTGATACACTCTTTTTGTAGAATCTGCAAGTGGATATTTGGATAGCTGTGAAGATTTCGTTGGAAACGGGCATATCTTCCTATAAAATCTAGACAGAAGCATTGTCAGAAACTGCTCTGTGATGTCTGCATTCAAGTCACAGAGTTGAACATTGCCTTTCATAGAGCAGGTTTGAAACGCTCTTTTTGTAGGATATGGAAGTGGACTTATCGGACGGTTTGAGGCCCATGGTGATAAAGGGAATATCTTCCCCTACAAGCTAGAAAGAAGCATTCTGTGAAACTTGTTTGTGATGTTTGCACTCAACTAACAGAGTTGAACCTTTCTTTTTACAGAGCAGTTTTGAAACACTCTTTTTGTAGAATCTGCGAGGGGATATTTGGATACATTTCAGGATTTCGTTGGAAACGGGAATATCTTCATATAAAATCTCGACAGAAGCATTCTCAGAAACTTCATTGTGATATCTGCATTCAAGTCACAGAGTTGAATATTCCCTTTCAGAGAGTAGGTTTGAAACACTCTTTTTGTAGTATCTGGAAGTGGACATTTGGAGCGCCTTGACACCTACGGTGAAAAGGGAAATATCTTCCCATTAAAACTAGACAGAAGCAATCTCAGAATCTTCTTTGGGATATATGCACGCAGCTAACAGAGTTGAACCTTTCTATTGACAGAGCAGTTTTGAAACAGTCTTTCTGTGGAATCTGCAAGTGGATATTTGGTTAGCTTGGAGGATTTCGTTGGAAACGTCATTACGTATAAAAAGTAGACAGCAGCATCCTCAGAAACTTCTTTGTGATGTGTGCATTCAAGTCACAGAGTTGAACATTCCCTTTCGTACAGCAGTTTTGAAACACTCTTTCTGTAGTATCTGGAAGTGGACATTAGGACAGCTTTCAGGTCTATGGTGAGAAAGGAAATATCTTCAAATAAAAACTAGACAGAAGCATTCTCATAAACTTGTTTGTGATGTGTGAACTCAGCTAACAGAGGTGGATCTTTCTTTTGATAGAGCAGTTCTGAAAAACACTTTTTGTTGAATCTGCAAGTGCACATTTGGATAGATTAGAAGATTTCGTTGGAAACGGGAATATCTTCATATCAAATCTAGACAGAAGCATTCTCAGAAACCGTCGTTGTGATGTTTGCATTCAACTCATAGAGTTGAACATTCCGATTCAGAGAGCAGCTTTGAGGCACTCTTTTTGTAGTATGTGCAAGTGGATATTTGGAGCGCTCTGAGGCCTACGGTGAAAAAGCAAATATCTTCCCATAACCACTAGACAGAAACATTCTCAGAAACTCCTTTATGACGTATGCACTCACCTAACAGAGGAGAACCTTCCTTTTGACAGAGCAGTTTTGATACACTCTTTTTGTAGAATCTGCAAGTGGATATTTGGATAGCTGTGAAGATTTCGTTGGAAACGGGAATATCTTCCTATAAAATCTAGACAGAAGCATTCTCAGAAACTGCTCTGTGATGTCTGCATTCAAGTCACAGAGTTGAACATTGCCTTTCATAGAGCAGGTTTGAAACGCTCTTTTTGTAGTATATGGAAGTGGACGTTTCGGACGGTTTGAGGCCAATGGTGATAAAGGGAATATCTTCCCCTACAAGCTAGAAAGAAGCATTCTGTGAAACTTGTTTGTGATGTGTGTACTCAACTAACAGAGTTGAACCTTTCTTTTTACAGAGCAGTTTTGAAACACTCTTTTTGTAGAATCTGCGAGGGGATATTTGGATAGACTTCAGGATTTCGTTGGAAACGGGAATATCTTCATATAAAATCTCGACAGAAGCATTCTCAGAAACTTCTTTGTGCTATCTGCATTCAAGTCACAGAGTTGAATATTCCCTTTCACAGAGTAGGTTTGAAACACTCTTTTTGTAGTATCTGGAAGTGGACATTTGGAGCGCCTTGACACCTAAAGTGAAAAGGGAAATATCTTCCCATAAAAACTAGACAGAAGCAATCTCAGAATCTTCTTTGGGATATATGTACGCAGCTAATAGAGTTGAACCTTTCTATTGACAGAGCAGTTTTGAAACAGTCTTTCTGTGGAATCTGCAAGGGGATATTTGGATAGCTTGGAGGATTTCGTTGGAAACGGGATTACTGTATAAAAAGTAGACAGCAGCATCCTCAGAAACTTCTTTGTGATGTGTGCATTCAAGTCACAGAGTTGAACATTCCCTTTCGTACAGCAGTTTTGAAACACTCTTTCTGTAGTATCTGGAAGTGAACCATTAGGACAGCTTTCAGCTCTATGGTGAGAAAGGAAATATCTTCAAATAAAAACTAGACAGAAACATTCTCATAAACTTGTTTGTGATGTGTGAACTCAGCTAACAGAGGTGGATCTTTCTTTTGATAGAGCAGTTCTGAAAAACACTTTTTGTTGAATCTGCAAGTGGACATTTGGATAGATTTGAAGATTTCGTTGGAAACGGGAATATCTTCATATCAAATCTAGACAGAAGCATTCTCAGAAACGTCTTTGCGATGTTTGCATTCAACTCATAGAGTTGAACATTCCGTTTCAGAGAGCAGCTTTGAGGCACTCTTTGTAGTATGTGCAAGTGGATATTTGGAGCGCTCTGAGGCCTACGGTGAAAAAGCAAATATCTTCCCATAACCACTAGACAGAAACATTCTCAGAAACTCCTTTCTGACGTATGCACTCACCCAACAGAGAAGAACCTTCCTTTTGACAGAGCAGTTTTGATACACTCTTTTTGTAGAATCTGCAAGTGGATATTGGGATAGCTGTGAAGATTTCGTTGGAAACGGGAATATCTTCCTATAAAATCTAGACAGAAGCATTCTCAGAAACTGCTCTGTGATGTCTGCATTCAAGTCACAGAGTTGAACATTGCTTTTCATAGAGCAGGTTTGAAACGGTCTTTTTGTAGTATATGGAAGTAGACGTTTCGGACGGTTTGAGGCCCATGGTGATAAAGGGAATATCTTCCCCTACAAGCTAGAAAGAAGCATTCTGTGAAACTTGTTTGTGATGTGTGTACTCAACTAACAGAGTTGAACCTTTCTTTTTACAGAGCAGTTTTGAAACACTCTTTTTGTAGAATCTGCGAGGGGATATTTGGATAGATTTCAGGATTTTGTTGGAAACCGGAATATCTTTATATAAAATCTGGACAGAAGCATTCTCAGAAACTTCTTTGTGATATCTGCATTCAAGTCACAGAGTTGAATATTCCCTTCCACAGAGTAGGTTTGAAACACTCTTTTTGTGGTATCTGGAAGTGGACATTTGGAGCGCCTTGACGCCTACGGTGAAAAGGGAAATATCTTCCCATAAAAACTAGACGGAAGCCATCTCAGAATCTTCTTTGGGATATATGCACGCAGCTAACAGAGTTGAACCTTTCTATTGACAGAGCAGTTTTGAAACAGTCTTTCTGTGGAATCTGCAAGTGGATATTTGGATAGCTTGGAGGATTTCGTTGGAAACGGGATTACGCATAAAAAGTAGACAGCAGCATCCTCAGAAAATTCTTTGTGATGTGTGCATTCAAGTCACAGAGTTGAACATTCCCTTTCGTACAGCAGTTTTGAAACACTCTTTCTGTAGTATCTGGAAGTGAACATTAGGACAGCTTTCAGGTCTTTGGTGAGAAAGGAAATATCTTCAAATAAAAACTAGACAGAAGCATTCTCATAAACTTGTTTGTGATGTGTGAAGTCAGCTAACAGAGGTGGATCTTTCTTTTGATAGAGCAGTTCTGAAAAACACTTTTTGTTGAATCTGCAAGTGGACATTTGGATAGATTTGAAGATTTCGTTGGAAACGGGAATATCTTCATATCAAATCTAGACAGAAGCATTCTCAGAAACGTCTTTGCGATGTTTGCATTCAACTCATAGAGTTAAACATTCCGTTTCAGAGAGCAGCTTTGAAGCACTCTTTTTGTAGTATGTGCAAGTGGATATTTGGAGCGCTCTGAGGCCTACGGTGAAAAAGCAAATATCTTCCCATAACCACTAGACAGAAACATTCTCAGAAACTCCTTTATGACGTATGCACTCACCTAACAGAGAAGAACCTTCCTTTTGACAGAGCAGTTTTGATACACACTTTTTGTAGAATCTGCAAGTGGATATTTGGATAGCTGTGAAGATTTCGTTGGAAACGGGAATATCTTCCTATAAAATCTAGACAGAAGCATTCTCAGAAACTGCTCTGTGATGTCTGCATTCAAGTCACAGAGTTGAACATTGACTTTCATAGAGCAGGTTTGAAACGCTCTTTTTGTAGTATATAAAAGTGGACGTTTCGGACGGTTTGAGGCCCATGGTGATAAAGGGAATATCTTCCCCTACAAGCTAGAAAGAAGCATTCTGTGAAACTTGTTTGTGATGTGTGTACTCAACTAACAGAGTTGAACCTTTCTTTTTACAGAGCAGTTTTGAAACACTCTTTTTGTAGAATCTGCGAGGGGATATTTGGATACATTTCAGCATTTCGTTGGAAACGGGAATAAATTCATATAAAATCTCGACAGAAGCATTCTCAGAAACTTCTTTGTGATATCCTGCATTCAAGTCACAGAGTTGAATATTCCCTTTCACAGAGTAGGTTTGAAACACTCTTTTTGTAGTATCTGGAAGTGGACATTTGGAGCGCCTTGACGCCTACAGTGAAAAGGGAAATATCTTCCCATAAAAACTAGACAGAAGCAATCTCAGAATTTTCTTTGGGATATATGCACATAGCTAACAGAGTTGAACCTTTCTTTTTACAGAGCAGTTTTGAAACACTCTTTTTGTAGAATCTGCAAGTGGATATTTGGATAGCTTGGAGGATTTCGTTGGAAACGGGATTACGTATAAAAAGTAGACGGCAGCATCCTCAGAAACTTCTTTGTGATGTGTGCATTCAAGTCACAGAGTTGAACATTCCTTTTCGTACAGCAGTTTTGAAACACTCTTTCTGTAGTATCTGGAAGTGAACATTAGGACAGCTTTCAGGTCTATGGTGAGAAAGGAAATATCTTCAAATAAAAACTAGACAGAAGCATTCTCATAAACTTGTTTGTGATGTGTGAACTCAGCTAACAGAGGTGGATCTTTCTTTTGATAGAGCAGTTCTGAAAAACACTTTTGGTTGAATCTGCAAGTGGACATTTGGATAGATTTGAAGATTTCGTTGGAAACTTGAATATCTTCATATCAAATCTAGAGAGAAGCATTCTCAGAAACGTCTTTGTGATGTTTGCATTCAACTCATAGAGTTGAACATTCCGTTTCAGAGAGCAGCTTTGAAGCACTCTTTTTGTAGTATCTGCAAGTGGATATTTGGAGTGCTCTGAGGCCTACGGTGAAAAAGCAAATATCTTCCCATAACCACTAGACAGAAACATTCTCAGAAACTCCTTTATGACGTATGTACTCAACTAACAGAGAAGAACCTTCCTTTTGACAGAGCAGTTTTGATACACTCTTTTTGTAGAATCTGCAAGTGCATATTTGGATAGCTGTGAAGATTTCGTTGGAAACTGGAATATCTTCCTATAAAATCTAGACAGAAGCATTCTCAGAAACTGCTCTGTGATGTCTGCATTCAAGTCACAGAGTTGAACATTGCCTTTCATAGAGCAGGTTTGAAACGCTCTTTTTGTAGTATATGGAAGTAGACGTTTCGGACGGCTTGAGGCCCATGGTGATAAAGGGAATATCTTCCCCTACAAGCTAGAAAGAAGCATTCTGTGAAACTTGTTTGTGATGTGTGTACTCAACTAACAGTGTTGAACCTTTCTTTTTACAGAGCAGTTTTGAAACACTCTTTTTGTAGAATCTGCGAGGGGATATTTGGATAGATTTCAGGATTTCGTTGGGAACGGGAATATCTTCATATAAAATCTCGACAGAAGCATTCTCAGAAACTTCTTTGTGATATGTGCATTCAAGTCACAGAGTTGAATATTCCCTTTCACAGAGTAGGTTTGAAACACTCTGTTTGTAGTATCTGGAAGTGGACATTTGGAGCGCCTTGACGCCTACGGTGAAAAGGGAAATATCTTCCCATAAAAACTAGACAGAAGCAATCTCAGAATCTTCTTTGGGATATATGCACGCAGCTAGCAGAGTTGAACCTTTCTATTGACAGAGCAGTTTTGAAACAGTCTTTCTGTGGAATCTGCAAGTGGATATTTGGATAGCTTGGAGGATTTCGTTGGAAACGGGATTACGTATAAAAAGTAGACAGCAGCATCCTCAGAAACTTCTTTGTGATGTGTGCATTCAAGTCACAGAGTTGAACATTCCCTTTCGTACAGCAGTTTTGAAACACTCTTTCTGTAGTATCTAGAAGTGAACATTAGGACAGCTTTCAGCTCTATGGTGAGAAAGGAAATATCTTCAAATAAAAACTAGACAGAAGCATTCTCATAAACTTGTTTGTGATGTGTGAACTCAGCTAACAGAGGTGGATCTTTCTTTTGATAGAGCAGTTCTGAAAAACACTTTTTGTTGAATCTGCAAGTGGACATTTGGATAGATTTGAAGATTTCGTTGGAAACGGGAATATCTTCATATCAATCTAGACAGAAGCATTCTCAGAAACGTCTTTGTGATGTTTGCATTCAACTCATAGAGTTGAACATTCCGTTTCAGAGAGCAGCTTTGAGGCACACTTTTTGTAGTATGTGCAAGTGGATATTTGGAGCGCTCTGAGGCCTACGGTGAAAAAGCAAATATCTTCCCATAACCACTAGACAGAAACATTCTCAGAAACTGCTTTATGACGCATGCACTCACCTAACAGAGAAGAACCTTCCTTTTGACAGAGCAGCTTTGATACACTCTTTTTGTAGAATCTGCAAGTGGATATTTGGATAGCTGTGAAGATTTCGTTGGAAACGGGAATATCTTCCTATAAAATCTAGACAGAAGCATTCTCATAAACTGCTCTGTGATGTCTGCATTCAAGTCACAGAGTTGAACATTGCCTTTCCTAGAGCAGGTTTGAAACGCTCTTTTTGTAGTATATGGAAGTGGACGTTTCGGACGGTTTGAGGCCCATGGTGATAAAGGGAATATCTTCCCCTACAAGCTAGAAAGAAGCATTCTGTGAAACTTGTTTGTGATGTGTGTACTCAACTAAGAGAGTTGAACCTTTCTTTTCACAGAGCAGTTTTGAAACACTCTTTTTGTAGAATCTGCGAGGGGATATTTGGATAGATTTCAGGATTTCGTTGGAAACGGGAATATCTTCATACAAAATCTCGACAGAAGCATTCTCAGAAACTTCTTTGTGATATCTGCCTTCAAGTCACAGAGTTGAATATTCCCTTTCACTGAGTAGGTTTGAAACACTCTTTTTGTAGTATCTGGAAGTGGACATTTGGAGCGCCTTGACGCCTACGGTGAAAAGGGAAATATCTTCCCATAAAAACTAGACAGAAGCAATCTCAGAATCTTCTTTGGGATATATGCATGCAGCTAACAGAGTTGAACCTTTCTATTGGCAGAGCAGTTTTGAAACAGTCTTTCTGTGGAATCTGCAAGTGGATATTTGGATAGCTTGGAGGATTTCGTTGGAAACGGGATTAAGTATAAAAAGTAGACAGCAGCATCCTCAGAAACATCCTTGTGATGTGTGCATTCAAGTCACAGAGTTGAACATTCCCTTTCGTACAGCAGTTTTCAAACACTCTTTCTGTAGTATCTGGAAGTGAACTTTAGGAGAGCTTTCAGGTCTATAGTGAGAAAGGATATATCTTCAAATAAAAACTAGACAGAAGCATTCTCATAAACTTGTTTGTGATCTGTGAACTCAGCTAAGAGACGTGGATCTTTCTTTTGATAGAGCAGTTCTGAAAAACACTTTTTGTTGAATCTGCAAGTGGACATTTGGATAGATTTGAAGATTTCTTTGGAAACGGGAATATCTTCATATCAAATCTAGACAGAAGCTTTCTCAGAAACGTCTTTGTGATGTTTGCATTCAACTCATAGAGTTGAACATTCCGTTTCAGAGAGCAGCTTTGAAGCACTCTTTTTGTAGTATGTGCAAGGGGATATTTGGAGCGCTCTGAGTCCTAAGGTGAAAAAGCAAATATCTTCCCATAACCAATAGACAGAAGCATTCTGTGAAACTTGTTTGTGATGTGTTTACTCAACTAACAGAGTTGAACTTTTCTTTTGATAGAGCAGTTTTCAAACATTCTTTTTGTAGAGTCTGCAAGTGGATATTTGGCTAGCTTTGAGGATTTTGTTGGAAACGGGAATATCTTCACATAAAAACTAGGCAGAAGCATTCTCTGAAACTTCTTTGTGTTGTTTGCATTTAACTCACAGAGTTGAACATTCCCTTTCATACAGCAGTTCTGAAACACTCATTTTGTAGTAGATGGAAGTGGACACTTGGACTGCTTCGAGGCCTATGGTGAAAAAGGTAGTACCCTCACATAAAAACTAGACAGAAGCATTCTGTGAAACTTGTTTGTGATGTGTGTACTCAACTAACAGACTTGAACCTTTCTTTTTACAGAGCAGTTTTGAAACACTCTTTTTGTAGAATCTGCGAGGGGATATTTGGATAGATTTCAGGATTTCGTTGGAAAGGGGAATATCTTCATATAAAATCTCGACAGAAGCATTCTCAGAAACTTCTTTGTGATATGTGCATTCAAGTCACAGAGTTGAATATTCCCTTTTACACAGTAGGTTTGAAACACTCTTTTTGTAGTATCTGGAAGTGAACATTTGGAGCGCCTTGACGCCTACGGTGAAAAGGGAAATATCTTCTCATAAAAAGTAGACAGAAGCAATCTCAGAATCTTCTTTGGGATATATGCACGCAGCTAACAGAGTTGAACCTTTCTATTGACAGAGTAGTTTTGAAACAGTCTTTCTGTGGAATCTGCAAGTGGATATTTGGATAGCTTGGAGGACTTCGTTGGAAACGGGATTAAGTATAAAAAGTAGACAGCAGCATCCTCAGAAACTTCTTTGTGATGTGTGCATTCAAGTCACAGAGTTGAACATTCCCTTTCGTACTGCAGTTTTGAAACACTCTTTCTGTAGTATCTGGAAGTGAACATTAGGACAGCTTTCAGCTCTATGGTGAGAAAGGAAATATCTTCAAATAAAAACTAGACAGAAGCATTCTCATAAACTTGTTCGTGATGTGTGAACTCAGCTAACACACGTGGATCTTTCTTTTGATAGAGCAGTTCTGAAAAACACTTTTTGTTGAATCTGCAAGAGGACAGTTGGATAGATTTGAAGATTTCGTTGGAAACGGGAATATCTTCCATATCAAATCTAGACAGAAGCATTCTCAGAAACGTCTTTGTGATGTTTGCATTCAACTCATAGAGTTGAACATTCCGTTTCAGAGAGCAGGTTTGAAGCACTCTTTTTGTAGTATGTGCAAGTGGATATTTGGAGGGCTCTGAGGCCTACGGTGAAAAAGCAAATATCTTCCCATAACCACTAGACAGAAACATTCTCAGAAACTCCTTTACGACGTATGCACTCACCTAACAGAGGAGAACCTTCCTTTTGACAGAGCAGTTTTGATACACTCTTTTTGTAGAATCTGCAAGTGGATATTTGGATAGCTGTGAAGATTTCGTTGGAAACGGGAATATCTTCCTATAAAATCTAGACAGAAGCATTCTCAGAAACTGCTCTGTGATGTCTACATTGAAGTCACAGAGTTGAACATTGCCTTTCATAGAGCAGGTTTGAAACGCTCTTTTTGTAGTATATGGAAGTGGACGTTTCGGACGGTTTGAGGCCCATGGTGATAAAGGGAATATCTTTCCCTACAAGCTAGAAAGAAGCATTCTGTGAAACTTGTTTGTGATGTGTGTACTCAACTAACAGAGTTGAACCTTTCTTTTTACAGAGCAGTATTGAAACACTCTTTTTGAAGAATCTGCGAGGGGATATTTGGATAGATTTCAGGATTTCGTTGGAAACGGGAATATCTTCATATAAAATCTCGACAGAAGCATTCTCAGAAACTTCCTTGTGATATGTGCATTGAAGTCACAGAGTTGAATATTCCCTTTCACAGAGTAGGTTTGAAACACTCTTTTTGTAGTATCTGGAAGTGGACATTTGGAGCGCCTTGACGCCTACGGTGAAAAGGGAAATATCTACCAATAAAAACTAGACAGAAGCAATCTCAGAATCTTCTTTGGGATATATGCACGCAGCTAACAGAGTTGAACGTTTCTATTGACAGAGCAAGTTTTGAAACAGTCTTTCTGTGGAATCTGCAAGTGGATATTTGGATAGCTTGGAGGATTTCGTTGGAAACGGGATTACGTATAAAAAGTAGACAGCAGCATCCTCAGAAACTTCTTTGTGATGTGTGCATTCAAGTCACAGAGTTGAACATTCCCTTTCGTACAGCAGTTTTGAAACACTCTTTCTGTAGTACCTGGAAGTGAACATTAGGACAGCTTTCAGCTCTATGGTGAGAAAGGAAATATCTTCAAATAAAAACTAGACAGAAGCATTCTCATATACTTGTTTGTGATGTGTGAACTCAGCTAACAGAGGTGGATCTTTCTTTTGATAGAGCAGTTGTGAAAAACACTTTTTGTTGATTATGCAAGTGGACATTTGGATAGATTTGAAGATTTCGTTGGAAACGGGAATATCTTCATATCAAATCTAGACAGAAGCATTCTCAGAAACGTCTTTGTGATGTTTGCATTCAACTCATAGAGTTGAACATTCCGTTTCAGAGAGCAGCTTTGAAGCACTCTTTTTGTAGTATGTGCAAGGGGATATTTGGAGCGCTCTGAGGCCTAAGGTGAAAAAGGAAATATCTTCCCATAACCACTAGACAGAAACATTCTCAGAAACTCCTTTATGACGTATGCACTCACCTAACAGAGAAGAACCTTCCTTTTGACAGAGCAGTTTTGATACACTCTTTTTGTAGAATCTCCAAGTGGATATTTGGATAGCTGTGAAGATTTCGTTGGAAACGGGAATATCCTCCTATAATATCTAGACAGAAGCATTCGCAGAAACTGCTCTGTGATGTCTGCATTCAAGTCACAGAGTTGAACATTGCCTTTCATAGAGCCGGTTTGAAACGCTCTTTTTGTAGTATATGGAAGTGGATGTTTCGGACGGTTGGAGGCCCATGGTGATAAAGGGAATATCTTCCCCTACAAGATAGAAAGAAGCATTCTGTGAAACTTGTTTGTGATGTGTGTACTCAACTAACGGAGTTGAACCTTTCTTTTTACAGAGCAGTTTTGAAACACTCTTTTTGTAGAATCTGCGAGGGGATATTTGGATAGATTTCAGGATTTCGTTGGAAACGGGAATATCTTCATAGAAAATCTCGACAGAAGCATTCTCAGAAACTTCTTTGTGATATGTGCATTCAAGTCACAGAGTTGAATATTCCCTTTCACAGAGTAGGTTTGAAACACTCTTTTTGTAGTATCTGGAAGTGGCCATTTGGAGCGCCTTGACACCTACGGTGAAAAGGGAAATATCTTCCCATAAAAACTAGACAGAAGCAATCTCAGAATCTTCTTTGGGATATATGCACGCAGCTAACAGAGTTGAACCTTTCTATTGCCAGAGCAGTTTTGAAACAGTCTTTCTGTGGAATCTGCAAGTGGATATTTGGATAGCTTGGAGGATTTCGTTGGAAACGGGATTACGTATAAAAAGTAGACAGCAGCATCCTCAGAAACTTCTTTGTGATGTGTGCATTCAAGTCACAGAGTTGAACATTCCCTTTCGTACAGCAGTTTTGAAACACTCTTTCTGTAGTATCTGGAAGTGAACTTTAGGAGAGCTTTCAGGTCTATAGTGAGAAAGGATATATCTTCAAATAAAAACTAGACAGAAGCATTCTCATAAACTTGTTTGTGATGTGTCAACTCAGCTAACAGAGGTGGATCTTTCTTTTGATAGAGCAGTTCTGAAAAACACTTTTTGTTGAATCTGCAAGTGGACATTTGGATAGATTTGAAGATTTCGTTGGAAACGGGAATATCTTCATATCAAATCTAGACAGAAGCATTCTCAGAAACGTCTTTGTGATGTTTCAATTAAACTCATGGAGATGAACATTCCCTTTCAGAGAGCAGCTTTGAAGCACTCTTTTTGTAGTATGTGCAAGTAGATATTTTGAGCGCTCTGAGGCCTACGGGGAAAAAGCAAATATCTTCCCATAACCACTAGACAGAAACATTCTCAGAAACTCCTTTATGACGTATGCACTCACCTAACAGAGAAGAACCTTCCTTTTGACAGAGAAGTTTTGATACACTCTTTTTGTAGAATCTGCAAGTGGATATTTGGATAGCTGTGAAGATTTCGTTGGAAACGGGAATATCTTCCTATAAAATCTAGACAGAAGCATTCTCAGAAACTGCTCTGTGATGTCTGCATTCAAGTCACAGAGTTGAACATTGCCTTTCCTAGAGCAGGTTTGAAACCCTCTTTTTGTAGTATAGGGAAGTGGACGTTTCGGACGGTTTGAGGCCCATGGTGATAAAGGGAATATCTTCCCCTACAAGCTAGAAAGAAGCATTCTGTGAAACTTGTTTGTGATGTGTGTACTCAACTAACAGAGTTGAACCTTTCTTTTTACAGAGCAGTTTTGAAACACTCTTTTTGTAGAATCTGCGAGGGGATATTTCGATAGATTTCAGGATTTCGTTGTAAACGGGAATATCTTCATATAAAATCTCGACAGAAGCATTCTAAGAAGCTTCTTTGTGATATGTGCATTCAAGTCACAGAGTTGAATATTCCCTTTCACAGAGTAGGTTTGAAACACTCTTTTTGTAGTATCTGGAAGTGGACATTTGGAGCGCCTTGACGCCTACGGTGAAAACGGAAATATCTTCTCATAAAAAGTAGACAGAAGCAATCTCAGAATATTCTTTGGGATATATGCACGCAGCTAACAGAGTTGAACCTTTCTATTGACAGAGCAGTTTTGAAACAGTCTTTCTGTGGAATCTGCAAGTGGATATTTGGATAGCTTGGAGGATTTCGTTGGAAACGGGATTACGTATAAAAAGTAGACAGCAGCACCTCAGAAACTTCTTTGTGATGTGTGCATTCAAGTCACAGAGTTGAACATTCCCTTTCGTACAGCAGTTTTGAAACACTCTTTCTGTAGTATCTGGAAGTGAACATTAGGACAGCTTTCAGCTCTATGGTGAGAAAGGAAATATCTTCAAATAAAAACTAGACAGAAGCATTCTCATAAAATTGTTTGTGATGTGTGAACTCAGCTAACAGAGGTGGATATTTCTTTTGATATAGTAGTTTTGAAAAACACTTTTTGTAGAATCTGAAAGTGGATATTTGGATAGATTTGAAGATTTCGTTGGAAACGGGAATATCTTCGTATAAAATCTAGACAGAAGCATTCTCAGAAACGTCTTTGTGATGTTTGCATTCAACTCATAGAGTTGAACATTCCCTTTCAGAGAGCAGCTTTGAAGCACTCTTTTTGTAGCATGTGCAAGTGGACATTTGTAGCGCCCTGAGGCCTACGGGGAAAAAGCAAATATCTTCCCATAACCACTAGACAGAAACATTCTCAGAAACTCCTTTATGACGTATGCACTCACCTAACAGAGAAGAACCTTCCTTTTGACAGAGCAGTTTTGATACACTCTTTTTGTAGAATCTGCAACTGGATATTTGGATAGCTGTGAAGATTTCGTTGGAAACGGGAATATCTTCCTATAAAATCTAGACAGAAGCATTCTCAGAAACTGCTCTGTGATGTCTGCATTCAAGACACAGAGTTCAACATTGCCTTTCATAGAGCAGGTTTGAAACGCTCTTTTTGTAGTATATGGAAGTGGATGTTTCGGACGGTTGGAGGCCCATGGTGATAAAGGGAATATCTTCCCCTACAAGCTAGAAAGAAGCATTCTGTGAAACTTGTTTGTGATGTGTGTACTCAACTAACAGAGTTGAACCTTTCTTTTCACAGAGCAGTTTTGAAACACTCTTTTTCTAGAATCTGCGAGGGGATATTTGGATAGATTTCAGGATTTCATTGGAAACGGGTATATCTTCATATAAAATCTCGACAGAAGCATTCTCAGAAGCTTCTTTGTGATATGTGCATTCAAGTCACAGAGTTGAATATTCCCTTTCACAGAGTAGGTTTGAGACACTCTTTTTGTAGTATCTGGAAGTGGACATTTGGAGCACATTGACGCCTACGGTGAAAAGGGAAATATCTTCTCATAAAAAGTAGACAGAAGCAATCTCAGAATCTTCTTTGGGATATATGCACGCAGCTAACAGAGTTTAACCTTTCTATTGACAGAGCAGTTTTGAAACAGTCCTTCTGTGGAATCTGCAAGTGGATATTTGGATAGATTGGAGGATTTCGTTGGAAACGGGATTACGTATAAAAAGTAGACAGCAGCATCCTCAGAAACTTCTTTGTGATGTGTGCATTCATGTCACAGTGTTGAACATTCCCTTTCGTACAGCCGTTTTGAAACACTCTTTCTGTAGTATCTCTAAGTGAACATTAGGACATCTTTCAGGTCTATGGTGAGAAAGGAAATATCTTCAAATAAAAACTAGACAGAAGCATTCTCATAAACTTGTTTGTGATGTGTGAACTCAGCTAACAGAGGTGAATCTTTCTTTTGAAAGAGCAGTTCTGAAAAACACTTTTTGTTGAATCTGCAAGTGGACATTTGGATAGATTTGAAGATTTCGTTGGAAACGGGAATATCTTCATATCAAATCTAGACAGAAGCATTCTCGGAAACGTCTTTGTCATGTTTGCATTCAACTCATAGAGTTGAACATTCCGTTTCAGAGAGCAGCTTTGAAGCACTCTTTTTGTAGTATGTGCAAGTGGATATTTGGAGCGCTCTGAGGCCTAAGATGAAAAAGCAAATATCTTCCCATAACCACTAGACAGAAACATTCTCAGAAACTCCTTTATGACGTATGTACTCAACTAACAGAGAAGAACCTTCCTTTTGAAAGAGCAGTTTTGATACACTCTTTTTGTAGAATCTGCAAGTGGATATTTGGATAGCTGTGAAGATTTCGTTGGAAACGGGAATATCTTCCTATAAAATCTAGACAGAAGCATTCTCAGAAACTGCTCTGTGATGTCTGCATTCAAGTCACAGAGTTGAACATTGCCTTTCATAGAGCAGGTTTGAAAGGCTCTTTTTGTACTATATGGAACAGGACGTTTCGAACGGTTTGAGGACCATGGTGATAAAGGGAATATCTTCCCCTACAAGCTAGAAAGAAGCATTCTGTGAAACTTGTTTGTGATGTGTGTACTCAACTAACAGTGTTGAACCTTTCTTTTTACAGAGCAGTTTTGAAACACTCTTTTTGTAGAATCTGCGAGGGGAAATTTGGATAGATTTCAGGATTTCGTTGGAAACGGGAATATCTTCATACAAAATCTCGACAGAAGCATTCTCAGAAACTTCTTTGTGATATGTGCATTCAAGTCACAGAGTTGAATATTCCCTTTCACAGAGTAGGTTTGAAACACTCTTTTTGTAGTATCTGGAAGTGGACATTTGGAGCGCCTTGACTGCCTACGGTGAAAAGGGAAATATCTTCCCATAAAAACTAGACAGAAACAATCTCAGAATCTTCTTTGGGATATATGTACGCAGCTAACAGAGTTGAACCTTTCTATTGACAGAGCAGTTTTGAAACAGTCTTTCTGTGGAATCTGCAAGTGGATATTTGGATAGCTTGGAGGATTTCGTTGGAAACGGGATTACGTATAAAAAGTAGACAGCAGCATCCTCAGAAACTTCTTTGTGATGTGTGCATTCAAGTCACAAGGTTGAACATTCCCTTTCATACAGCAGTTTTGAAACGCTCTTTCTGTAGTATCTGGAAGTGAACTTTAGGACAGCTTTCAGGTCTATGGTGAGAAAGGAAATATCTTCAAATAAAAACTAGACAGAAGCATTCTCATAAACTTGTTTGTGATGTGTGAACTCAGCTAACAGAGGTGGATCTTTCTTTTGATAGAGCAGTTCTGAAAAACACTTTTTGATGAATCTGCAAGTGGACATTTGGATAGATTTGAAGATTTCTTTGGAAACGGGAATATCTTCATATCAAATCTAGACAGAAGCATTCTCAGAGACGTCTTTGTGATGTTTGCATTCAACTCATAGAGTTGAACATTCCCTTTCAGAGAGCAGCTTTGAAGCACTCTTTTTGTAGCATGTGCAAGTGGACATTTGGAGCGCCCTGAGGCCTACGGGGAAAAAGCAAATATCTTCCCATAACCACTAGACAGAAACATTCTCAGAAACTCCTTTATGACGTATGTACTCAACTAACAGAGAAGAACCTTCCTTTTGACAGAGCAGTTTTGATACACTCTTTTTGTAGAATCTGCAAATGGATATTTGGATAGCTGTGAAGATTTCGTTGGAAACGGGAATATCTTCCTATAAAATCTAGACAGAAGCATTCTCAGAAACAGCTCTGTGATGTCTGCATTCAAGTCACAGAGTTGAACATTGCCTTTCATAGAGCAGGTTTGAAACGCTCTTTTTGTAGTATATGTAACTGGAGGTTTCGGACGGTTTGAGGCCCATGGTGATAAAGGGAATATCTTCCCCTACAAGCTAGAAAGAAGCATTCTGTGAAACTTGTTTGTGATGTGTGTACTCAACTAACAGAGTTGAAACTTTCTTTTTACAGAGCAGTTTTGAAACACTCTTTTTGTAGAATCTGCGAGGGGATATTTGGATAGATTTCAGGATTCCGTTGGAAACGGGAATATCTTCATATAAAATCTCGACAGAAGCATTCTCAGAAACTTCATTGTGATATCTGCATTCAAGTCACAGAGTTGAATATTCCCTTTCAGAGAGTAGGTTTGAAACACTCTTTTTGGAGTATCTGGAAGTGGACATTTGGAGTGCCTTGACACCTACGGTGAAAAGGGAAATATCTTCCCATAAAAACTAGACAGAAGCAATCTCAGAATCTTCTTTGGGATATATGCACGCAGCTAACAGAGTTGAACCTTTCTATTGACAGAGCAGTTTTGAAACAGTCTTTCTGTGGAATCTGCAAGTGGATATTTGGATAGCTTGGAGGATTTCGTTAGAAACGGGATTACGTATAAAAAGTAGACAGCAGCATCCTCAGAAACTTCTTTGTGATGTGTGCATTCAAGTCAAAGAGTTGAACATTCCCTTTCATACAGCAGTTTTGAAACACTCTTTCTGTAGTATCTGGAAGTGAACATTAGGACAGCTTTCAGCTCTATGGTGAGAAAGGAAATATCTTCAAATAAAAACTAGACAGAAGCATTCTCATAAACTTGTTTGTGAGGTGTGAACTCAGCTAACAGAGGTGGATCTTTCTTTTGATAGAGCAGTTCTGAAAAACACTTTTTGTTGAATCTGCAAGTGGACATTTGGATAGATTTGAAGATTTCGTTGGAAACGGGAATATCTTCATATCAAATCTAGACAGAAGCATTCTCAGAAACGTCTTTGTGATGTTGGCATTCAACTCATAGAGTTGAACATTCCGTTTCAGAGAGCAGCTTTGAGGCACTCTTTTTGTAGTATGTGCAAGTAGATATTTGGAGCGCTCTGAGGCCTACGGTGAAAAAGCAAATATCTTCCCATAACCACTAGACAGAAACATTCTCAGAAACTCCTTTATGACGTATGCACTCACCTAACAGAGAAGAACCTTCCTTTTGACAGAGCAGTTTTGATACACTCTTTTTGTAGAATCTGCAAGTGGATATTTGGATACCTGTGAAGATTTCGTTGGAAACGGGAATATCTTCCTATAAAATGTAGACAGAAGCATTCTCAGAAACTGCTCTGTGATGTCTGCATTCAAGTCACAGAGTTGAACATTGCCTTTCATAGAGCAGGTTTGAAACGCTCTTTTTGTAGTATATGGAAGTGGATGTTTCGGACGGTTGGAGGCCCATGGTGATAAAGGGAAAATCTTCTCCTACAAGCTAGAAAGAAGCATTCTGTGAAACTTGTTTGTGATGTGTGTACTCAACTAACAGAGTTGAACCTTTCTTTTTACAAAGCAGTTTTGAAACACTCTTTTTGTAGAATCTGCGAGGGGAAATTTGGATAGATTTCAGGATTTCGTTGGAAACGGGAATATCTTCATACAAAATCTCGACAGAACCATTCTCAGAAACTTCCTTGTGATATGTGCATTCAAGTCACAGAGTTGAATATTCCCTTTCACAGAGTAGGTTTGAAACACTCTTTTTGTAGTATCTGGAAGTGGACATTTGGAGCGCCTTGACGCCTACGGTGAAAAGGGAAATATCTTCCCATAAAAACTAGACAGAAGCAATCTCAGAATCTGCTTTGGGATATATGCACGCAGCTAACAGAGTTGAACCTTTCTATTGACAGAGCAGTTTTGAAACAGTCTTTCTGTGGAATCTGCAAGTGGATATTTGGATAGCTTGGAGGATTTCGTTGGAAACGGGATTAAGTATAAAAAGTAGACAGCAGCATCCTCAGAAACTTCCTTGTGATGTGTGCATTCAAGTCACAGAGTTGAACATTCCCTTTCGTACAGCAGTTTTGAAACACTCTTTCTGTAGTATCTGGAAGTGAACTTTAGGAGAGCTTTAAGGTCTATAGTGAGAAAGGATATATTTTCAAATAAAAACTAGACAGAAGCATTCTGATAAACTTGTTTGTGAAGTGTGATCTCAGCTAACAGAGGTGGATCTTTCTTTTGATAGAGCAGTTCTGAAAAACACTTTGTTGAATCTGCAAGTGGACATTTGGATAGATTTGAAGATTTCATTGGAAACGGGAATATCTTCATATCAAATCTAGACAGAAGCATTCTCAGAAACGTCTTTGTGATGTTTGCATTCAACTCATAGAGTTGAACATTCCGTTTCAGAGAGCAGCTTTGAAGCACTCTTTTTGTAGTACGTGCAAGTGGATATTTGGAGTCCTCTGAGGCCTAAGGTGAAAAAGCAAATATCTTCCCACAACCACTAGACAGAAACATTCTCAGAAACTCCTTTATGACGTATGCACTCACCTAACAGAGAAGAACCTTCCTTTGGACAGAGCAGTTTTGATACACTCTTTTTGTAGAATCTGCAATTGGATATTTGGATAGCTGTGAAGATTTCGTTGGAAACGGGAATATCTTCCTATAAAATCTAGACAGAAGCATTCTCAGTAACTGCTCTGTGATGTCTGCATTCAAGTCACAGAGTTGAACATTGCCTTTCATAGAGCAGGTTTGAAACACTCCTTTTTTAGTATATGGAAGTGGACGTTTCGGACGGTTTGAGGCCCATGGTGATAAAGGGAATATCTTCCCCTACAAGCTAGAAAGAAGCATTCTGTGAAACTTGTTTGTGATGTGTGTACTCAACTAACAGAGTTGAACCTTTCTTTTTACAGAGCAGTTTTGAAACACTCTTTTTGTACAATCTGTGAGGGGGTATTTGGATAGATTTCAGGATTTCGTTGGAAACGGGAATATCTTCATATAAAATCTCAACAGAAGCATTCTCAGAAACTTCTTTGTGATATGTGCATTCAAGTCACAGAGTTGAATATTCCCTTTCACAGAGTAGGTTTGAAACACTCTTTTTGTAGTATCTGGAAGTGGACATTTGGAGCGCCTCGACGCCTACGGTGAAAAGGGAAATATCTTCTCATAAAAAGTAGACAGAAGCAATCTCAGAATCTTCTTTGGGATATATGCACGCAGCTAACAGAGTTGAACCTTTCTATTGACAGAGCAGTTTTGAAACAGTCTTTCTGTGGAATATGCAAGTGGATATTTGGATAGCTTGGAGGATTTCGTTGGAAACGGGATTACGCATAAAAAGTAGACAGCAGCATCCTCAGTAAACTTCTTTGTGATGTGTGCTTTCAAGTCACAGTGTTGAACATTCCCTTTCGTACAGCAGTTTTGAAACACTCTTTCTGTAGTATCTGGAAGTGAACATTAGGACAGCTTTCAGGTCTATGGTGAGAAAGGAAATATCTTCAAATAAAAACTAGACAGAAGCATTCTCATAAACTTGTTTCTGATGTGTGAACTCAGCTAACAGAGGTGGATCTTTCTTTTGATAGAGCAGTTCTGAAAAACACTTTTTGTTGAATCTGCAAGTGGACATTTGGATAGATTTGAAGATTTCTTTGGAAACGGGAATATCTTCATATCAAATCTAGACAGAAGCATTCTCAGAAACGTCTTTGTGATGTTTGCATTCAACTCATAGAGTTGAAAATTCCCTTTCAGAGAGCAGCTTTGAAGCACTCTTTTTGTAGTATGTGCAAGTGGATATTTGGAGCGCTCTGAGGCCTACGGTGAAAAAGCAAATATCTTCCCATAACCACTAGACAGAAACATTCTCAGAAACTCCTTTATGACGTGTGCACTCACCTAACAGAGAAGAACCTTCCTTTTTACAGAGCAGTTTTGATACACTCTTTTTGTAGAATCTGCAAGTGGATATTTGGATAGCTGTGAAGATTTCGTTGGAAACGGTAATATCTTCCTATAAAATCTAGACAGAAGCATTCTCAGAAACGTCTTTCCGATGTTTGCATTCAACTCATAGAGTTGAACATTCCCTTTCAGAGAGCAGCTTTGAAGCACTCTTTTTGTACCATGTGCAAGTGGACATTTGGAGGGCCCTGAGGCCTACGGGGAAAAAGCAAATATCTTCCCATAACCACTAGACAGAAACATTCTCAGAAACTCCTTTATGACGTATGCACTCACCTAACAGAGAAGAACCTTCCTTTTTACAGAGCAGTTTTGAAACACTCTTTTTGTAGAATCTGCGAGGGGATATTTGGATAGATTTCAGGATTTCGTTGGAAACGGGAATATCTTCATATAAAATCTCGACAGAAGCATTCTCAGAAACTTCTTTGTGATATGTGCATTCAAGTCACAGAGTTGAATATTCCCTTTCACAGAGTAGGTTTGAAACACTCTTTTTGTAGTATCTGGAAGTGGACATTTGGAGCGCCTTGACACCTACAGTGAAAAGGGAAATATCTTCCCATAAAAACTAGACAGAAGCAATCTCAGAATCTTCTTTGGGATATATGTACGCAGCTAACAGAGTTGAACCTTTCTATTGACAGAGCAGTTTTGAAACAGTCTTTCTGTGGAATCTGCAAGTGGATATTTGGATAGCTTGGAGGATTTCTTTGGAAACGGGATTACGTATAAAAAGTAGACAGCAGCATCCTCAGAAACTTCTTTGTGATGTGTGCATTCAAGTCACAGAGTTGAACATTCCCTTTCGTACAGCAGTTTTGAAACACTCTTTCTGTAGTATCTGGAAGTGAACATTAAGACAGCTTTCAGGTCTATGGTGAGAAAGGAAATATCTTCAAATAAAAACTAGACAGAAGCATTCTCATAAACTTGTTTGTGATGTGTGAACTCAGCTAACAGAGGTGGATCTTTCTTTTGATAGAGCAGTTCTGAAAAACCCTTTTTGTTGAATCTGCAAGTGGACATTTGGATAGATTTGAAGATTTCGTTGGAAACGGGAATATCTTCATATCAAATCTAGACAGAAGCATTCTCAGAAACGTCTTTGTGATGTTTGCATTCAACTCATAGAGTTGAACATTCCCTTTCAGAGACCAGCTTTGAAGCACTCTTTTTGTAGTATGTGCAAGTGGATATTTGGAGCGCTCTGAGGCCTACGGTGAAAAAGCAAATATCTTCCCATAACCACTAGACAGAAACATTCTCAGAAACTCCTTTATGACGTATGCACTCACCTAACAGAGAAGAACCTTCCTTTTGACAGAGCAGTTTTGATACACTCTTTTTGTAGAATCTGCAAGTGGATATTTGGATACCTGTGAAGATTTCGTTGGAAACGGGAATATCTTCCTATAACATACTAGACAGAAGCATTCTCAGCAAACTGCTCTGTGATGTCTGCATTCAAGTCACAGAGTTGAACATTGCCTTTCATAGAGCAGGTTTGAAACGCTCTTTTTGTAGTATATGGAAGTGGACTTTTCGGACGGTTTGAGGCCCATGGTGATAAAGGGAATATCTTCCCCTACAAGCTAGAAAGAAGCATTCTGTGAAACTTGTTTGTGATGTGTGTACTCAACTAACAGAGTTGAACCTTTCTTTTTACAGAGCAGTTTTGAAACACTCTTTTTGTAGAATCTGCGAGGGGAAATTTGGATAGATTTCAGGATTTCGTTGGAAACGGGAATATCTTCATACAAAATCTCGACAGAAGCATTCTCAGAAACTACTTTGTGATATCTGCATTCAAGTCACAGAGTTGAATATTCCCTTTCACAGAGTAGGTTTGAAACACTCTTTTTGTAGTATCTGGAAGTGGACATTTGGAGCGCCTTGACACCTACGGTGAAAAGGGAAATATCTTCCCATAAAAACTAGACAGAAGCAATCTCAGAATCTTCTTTGGGATATATGCACGCAGCTAACAGAGTTGAACCTTTCTATTGAGAGAGCACTTTTGAAAGAGTCTTTCTGTGGAATCTGCAAGTGGATATTTGGATAGCTTGGAGGATTTCGTTGGAAACGGGATTACGTATAAAAAGTAGACAGCAGCATCCTCAGAAACATCCTTGTGATGTGTGCATTCAAGTCACAGAGTTGAACATTCCCTTTCGTACAGCAGTTTTGAAACACTCTTTCTGTAGTATCTGGAAGTGAACTTTAGGAGAGCTTTCAGGTCTATAGTGAGAAAGGATATATCTTCAAATAAAAGCTAGACAGAAGCATTCTCATAAACTTGTTTGTGATGTGTGAACTCAGCTAACAGAGGTGGATCTTTCTTTTGATAGAGCAGTTCTAAAAAACACTTTTTGTTGAATCTGCAAGTGGACATTTGGATAGATTTGAAGATTTCGTTGGAAACGGGAATATCTTCATATCAAATCTAGACAGAAGCATTCTCAGAAACGTCTTTGCGATGTTTGCATTCAACTCATAGAGTTGAACATTCCGTTTCAGAGAGCAGCTTTGAGGCACTCTTTTTGTAGTATGTGCAAGTGGATATTTGGAGCGCTCTGAGGCCTACAGTGAAAAAGCAAATATCTTCCCATAACCACTAGACAGAAACATTCTCAGAAACTCCTTTATGACGTATGTACTCAACTAACAGAGAAGAACCTTCTTTTTGACAGAGCAGTTTTGATACACTCTTTTTGTAGAATCTGCAAGTGCATATTTGGATAGCTGTGAAGATTTCGTTGGAAACGGGAATATCTTCCTATAAAATCTAGACAGAAGCATTCTCAGAAACTGCTCTGTGATGTCTGCATTCAAGTCACAGAGTTGAACATTGCCTTTCATAGAGCAGGTTTGAAATGCTCTTTTTGTAGTATATGGAAGTGGACTTTTCGGACGGTTTGAGGCCCATGGTGATAAAGGGGAATATCTTCCCCTACAAGCTAGAAAGAAGCATTCTGTGAAACTTGTTTGTGATGTGTGTACTCAACTAACAGAGTTGAACCTTTCATTTTACAGAGCAGTTTAGAAACACTCTTTTTGTAGAATCTGCGAGGGGATATTTGGATAGATTTCAGGATTTCGTTGGAAAGGGGAATATCTTCATTTAAAATCTCGACAGAAGCATTCTCAGAAGCTTCTTTGTGATATGTGCATTCAAGTCACAGAGTTGAATATTCCCTTTCACAGAGTAGGTTTGAAACACACTTTTTATAGTATCTGGAAGTGGACATTTGGAGCGCCTTGATGCCTACGGTGAAAAGGGAAATATCTTCCCATAAAAACTAGACAGATAAGCAATCTCAGAATCTTCTTTGGGATATATGCACGCAGCTAACAGAGTTGAACCTTTCTATTGACAGAGCAGTTTTGAAACAGTCTTTCTGTGGAATCTGCAAGTGGATATTTGGATAGATTGGAGGATTTCGTTGGAAACGGGATTACGTATAAAAAGTAGACAGCAGCATCCTCAGAAACTTCTTTGTGATGTGTGCATTCAAGTCAGAGTGTTGAACATTCCCTTTCGTACAGCAGTTTTGAAACACTCTTTCTGTAGTATCTGGAAGTGAACATTAAGACAGCTTTCAGGTCTATGGTGAGAAAGGAAATATCTTCAAATAAAAACTAGACAGAAGCATTCTCATAAACTTGTTTGTGATGTGTGAACTCAGCTAACAGAAGTGGATCTTTCTTTTGATAGAGCAGTTCTGAAAAACACTTTTTGTTGAATCTGCAAGTGGACATTTGAAAAGATTTGAAGATTTCGTTGGAAACGGGAATATCTTCATATCAAATCTAGACAGAAGCATTCTCAGAAACGTCTTTGTGATGTTTGCATTCAACTCATAGAGTTGAATATTCCCTTTCAGAGAGCAGCTGTGAAGCACTCTTTTTGTAGTATGTGCAAGTGGATATTTGGAGCGCTCTGAGGCCTACGGTGAAAAAGCAAATATCTTCCCATAACCACTAGACAGAAACATTCTCAGAAACTCCTTTATGACGTATGCACTCACCTAACAGAGAAGAACCGTCCTTTTGACAGAGCAGTTTTGATACACTCTTTTTGTAGAATCTGCAAGTGGATATTTGGATAGCTGTGAAGATTTCGTTGGAAACGGGAATATCTTCCTATAAAATCTAGACAGAAGCATTCTCAGAAACTGCTCTGTGATGTCTGCATTCAAGTCACAGAGTTGAACATTGCCTTTCATACAGCAGGTTTGAAATGCTCTTTTTGTAGTATATGGAAGTGGACGTTTCAGACGGTTTGAGGCCCATGGTGATAAAGGGAATATCTTCCCCTACAAGCTAGAAAGAAGCATTGTGTGAAACTTATTTGTGATGTGTGTACTCAACTAACAGAGTTGAACCTTTCTTTTTACAGAGCAGTTTTGAAACACTCTTTTTGTAGAATCTGCGAGGGGATATTTGGATACATTTCAGGATTTCGTTGGAAACGGGAATATCTTCATATAAAATCTCGACAGAAGCATTCTCAGAAGCTTCTTTGTGATATGTGCATTCAAGTCACAGAGTTGAATATTCCCTTTCACAGAGTAGGTTTGAAACACACTTTTTGTAGTATCTGGAAGTGGACATTTGGAGCGCCTTGATGCCTACGGTGAAAAGGGAAATATCTTCTCATAAAAAGTAGACAGAAGCAATCTCAGTAATCTTCTTTGGGATATATGCACGCAGCTAACAGTAGTTGAACCTTTCTATTGACAGAGCAGTTTTGAAACAGTCTTTCTGAGGAATCTGCAAGTGGATATTTGGATAGCTTGGAGGATTTCGTTGGAAACGGGATTACGTATAAAAAGTAGACAGCAGCATCCTCAGAAACTTCTTTGTGATGTGTGCATTCAAGTCACAGAGTTGAACATTCCCTTTCGTACGGCAGTTTTGAAACACTCTTTCTGTAGTATCTGGAAGTGAACATTAGGACAGCTTTCAGGTCTATGGTGAGAAAGGAAATATCTTCAAATAAAAACTAGACAGAAGCATTCTCATAAACTTGTTTGTGATGTGTGAACTCAGCTAACAGAGGTGGATCTTTCTTTTGATAGAGCAGTTCTGAAAAACACTTTTTGTTGAATCTGCAAGTGGACATTTGGATAGATTTGAAGATTTTGTTGGAAACGGGAATATCTTCATATCAAATCTAGACAGAAGCATTCTCAGAAACGTCTTTGTGATGTTTGCATTCAACTCATAGAGTTGAACATTCCGTTTCAGAGAGCAGCTTTGAGGCACTCTTTTTGTAGTATGTGCAAGTGGATATTTGGAGCGCTCTGAGGCCTACGGTGAAAAAGCAAATATCTTCCCATAACCACTAGAGAGAAACATTCTCAGAAACTCCTTTATGACGTATGCACTCACCTAACAGAAAAGAACCTTCCTTTTGACAGAGCAGTTTTGATACACTCTTTTTGTAGAATCTGCAAGTGGATATTTGGATAGCTGTGAAGATTTCGTTGGAAACGGGAATATATTCGTATAAAATCTAGACAGAAGCATTCTCAGAAACTGCTCTGTGATGTCTGCATTCAAGTCACAGAGTTGAACATTGCCTTTCCTAGAGCAGGTTTGAAACGCTCTTTTTGTAGTATATGGAAGTGGATGTTTCGTACGGTTGGAGGCCCATGGTGATAAAGGGAATATCTTCCCCTACAAGCTAGAAAGAAGCATTCTGTGAAACTTGTTTGAGATGTGTGTACTCAACTAACAGTGTTGAACCTTTCTTTATACAGAGCAGTTTTGAAACACTCTTTTTGTAGAATCTGCGAGGGGATATTTGGATAGATTTCAGGATTTCGTTGGAAACGGGAATATCTTCATATAAAATCTCGACAGAAGCATTCTCTGAAACTTCTTTGTGATATGTGCATTCAAGTCACAGAGTTGAATATTCCCTTTCACAGAGTAGGTTTGAAACACTCTTTTTGTAGTATCTGGAAGTGGACATTTGGAGCGCCTTGACGCCTACGGTGAACAGGGAAATATCTTCTCATAAAAAGTAGACAGAAGCAATCTCAGAATCTTCTTTGGGATATATGCACGCAGCTAACATAGTTGAACCTTTCTATTGACAGAGCAGTTTTGAAACAGTCTTTCTGTGGAATCTGCAAGTGGATATTTGGATAGCTTGGAGGATTTCGTTGGAAACGGGATTACGTATAAAAAGTAGACAGCAGCATCCTCAGAAACTTCTTTGTGATGTGTGCATTCAAGTCACAGAGTTGAACATACCCTTTCGTACAGCAGTTTTGAAACACTCTTTCTGTAGCATCTGGAAGTGAACATTAGGACAGCTTTCAGGTCTATGGTGAGAAAGGAAATATCTTCAAATAAAAACTAGACAGAAGCATTCTCATAAACTTGTTTGTGATGTGTGAACTCAGCTAAGAGACGTGGATCTTTCTTTTGATAGAGCAGTTCTGAAAAACACTTTTTGTTGAATCTGCAAGTGGACATTTGGACAGATTTGAAGATTTCTTTGGAAACGGGAATATCTTCATATCAAATCTAGACAGAAGCATTCTCAGAAACGTCTTTGTGATGTTTGCATTCAACTCATAGAGTTGAACATTCCGTTTCAGAGAGCAGCTTTGAGGCACTCTTTTTGTAGTATGTGCAAGTGGATATTTGGAGCGCTCTGAGGCCCTCGGTGAAAAAGCAAATATCTTCCCATAACCACTAGACAGAAACATTCTCACAAACTCCTTTATGACGTATGTACTCAACTAACAGAGAAGAACCTTCCTTTTGACAGAGCAGTTTTGATACACTCTTTTTGTAGAATCTGCAAGTGGATATTTGGATAGCTGTGAAGATTTCGTTGGAAACGGGAATACCTTCCTATAAAATCTAGACAGAAGCATTCTCAGAAACTGCTCTGTGATGTCTGCATTCAAGTCACAGAGTTGAACATTGACTTTCATAGAGCAGGTTAGAAACGCTCTTTTTGTACTATATGGAAGAGGACGTTTCGGACGGTTTGAGGACCATGGTGATAAAGGGAATATCTTCCCCTACAAGCTAGAAAGAAGCACTCTGTGAAACTTGTTTGTGATGTGTGTATTCAACTAACAGAGTTGAACCTTTCTTTTTACAGAGCAGTTTTGAAACACTCTTTTTGTAGAATCTGCGAGGGGATATTTGGATAGATTTCAGGATTTCGTTGGAAACGGGAATATCTTCATATAAAATCTCGACAGAAGCATTCTCAGAAACTTCTTTGTGATATCTGCCTTCAAGTCACAGAGTTGAATATTCCCTTTCACAGAGTAGGTTTGAAACACTCTTTTTGTAGTATCTGGAAGTGGACATTTGGAGTGCCTTGACGCCTACGGTGAAAAGGGAAATATCTTCCCATAAAAACTAGACAGAAGCAATCTCAGAATCTTCTTTGGGATATATGCACGCAGCTAACAGAGTTGAACCTTTCTATTGACAGAGCAGTTTTGAAACAGTCTTTCTGTGGAATCTGCAAGTGGATATTTGGATAGCTTGGAGGATTTCGTTGGAAACGGGATTACGTATAAAAAGTAAACAGCAGCATCCTCAGAAACTTCTTTGTGATGTGTGCATTCAAGTCACAGAGTTGAACATTCCCTTTCGTACAGCAATTTTGAAACACTCTTTCTGTAGTATCTGGAAGTGAACATTAGGACAGCTTTCAGCTCTATGGTGAGAAAGGAAATATCTTCAAATAAAAACTAGACAGAAGCATTCTCATAAACTTGTTTATGATGTGTGAACTCAGCTAACAGAGGTGGATCTTTCTTTTGATAGAGCAGTTCTGAAAAACACTTTTTGTTGAATCTGCAAGTGGACATTTGGATAGATTTGAAGATTTCGTTGGAAACGGGAATATCTTCATATCAAATCTAGACAGAAGCATTCTCAGAAACGTCTTTGTGATGTTTGCATTCAACTCATAGAGTTGAACATTCCGTTTCAGAGAGCAGCTTTGAGGCACTCTTTTTGTAGTATGTGCAAGTGGATATTTGGTGCGCTGTGAGGCCAACGGTGAAAAAGCAAATATCTTCCCATAACCACTAGACAGAAACATTCTCAGAAACTCCTTTATGACGTATGCACTCACCTAACAGAGAAGAACCTTCCTTTTGACAGAGAAGTTTTGATACACTCTTTTTGTAGAATCTGCAAGTGGATATTTGGATACCTGTGAAGATTTCGTTGGAAACGGGAATATCTTCCTATAAAATCTAGACAGAAGCATTCTCAGAAACTGCTCTGTGATGTCTGCATTCAAGTCACAGAGTTGAACATTGCCTTTCATAGAGCAGGTTTGAAACACTCTTTTTGTAGTATATGGAAGTGGACGTTTCGGACGGTTTGAGGCCCATGGTGATAAAGGGAATATCTTCCCCTACAAGCTAGAAAGAAGCATTGTGTGAAACTTGTTTGTGATGTGTGTACTCAACTAACAGAGTTGAACCTTTCTTTTTACAGAGCAGTTTTGAAACACTCTTTTTGTAGAATCTGCGAGGGGATATTTGGATAGATTTCAGGATTTCGATGGAAACGGGAATATCTTCATATAAAATCTCGACAGAAGCATTCTCAGAAACTTCTTTGTGATATCTGCATTCAAGTCACAGAGTTGAATATTCCCTTTCACAGAGTAGGTTTGAAACACTCTTTTTGTAGTATCTGGAAGTGGACATTTGGAGCACCTTGACACCTACGGTGAAAAGGGAAATATCTTCCCGATAAAAACTAGACAGAAGCAATCTCAGAATCTTCTTTGGGATATATGCACGCAGCTAACAGCAGTTGAACCTTTCTATTGACAGAGCAGTTTTGAAACAGTCTTTCTGTGGAATCTGCAAGTGGATATTTGGATAGCTTGGAGGATTTCTTTGGAAACGGGACTACGTGTAAAAAGTAGACAGCAGCATCCTCAGAAACTTCTTTGTGATGTGTGCATTCAAGTCACAGAGTTGAATATTCCCTTTCGTACAGCAGTTTTGAAAAACTCTTTCTGTAGTATCTGGAAGTGAACATTAGGACAGCATTCAGGTCTATGGTGAGAAAGGAAATATCTTCAAATAAAAACTACACAGAGGCATTCTCATAAACTTGTTTGTGATGTGTGAACTCAGCTAACAGACGTGGATCTTTCTTTTGATACAGCAGTTTTGAAAAACACTTTTTGTTGAATCTGAAAGTGGACATTTGGATAGATTTGAAGATTTCCTTGGAAACGGGAATATCTTCATATCAAATCTAGACAGAAGCATTCTCAGAGACGTCTTTGTAATGTTTGCATTCAACTCATAGAGTTGAACATTCCCTTTCAGAGAGCAGCTTTGAAGCACTCTTTTTGTAGCATGTGCAAGTGGACATTTGGAGCGCCCTGAGGCCTACGGTGAAAAAGCAAATATCTTCCCATAACCACTAGACAGACAAACATTCTCAGAAACTCCTTTATGACGTATGCACTCACCTAACAGAAAAGAACCTTCCTTTTGACAGAGCAGTTTTGATACACTCTTTTTGTAGAATCTGCAAGTGGATATTTGGATAGCTGTGAAGATTTCGTTGGAAACGGGAATATCTTCCTATAAAATCTAGACAGAAAGCATTCTCAGAAACTGCTCTGTGATGTCTGCATTCAAGTCACAGAGTTGAACATTGCCTTTCATAGAGCAGGTTTGAAACGCTCTTTTTGTAGTATATGGAAGTAGACGTTTCGGACGGCTTGAGGCCCATGGTGATAAAGGGAATATCTTACCCTACAAGCTAGAAAGAAACATTCTCAGAAACTCCTTTATGAAGTATGCACTCACCTAACAGAGAAGAACCTTCCTTTTGACAGAGCAGTTTTGATACACTCTTTTTGTAGAATCTGCAAGTGGATATTTGGATAGCTGTGAAGATTTCATTGGAAACGGGAATATCTTCCTATAAAATCTAGACAGAAGCATTCTCAGAAACTTCTTTGTGATATCTGCATTCAAGTCACAGAGTTGAATATTCCCTTTCACAGAGTAGGTTTGAAACACTCTTTTTGTAGTATCTGGAAGTGGACATTTGGAGCGCCTTGATGCCTACGGTGAAAAGGGAAATATCTTCCCATAAAAACTAGACAGAAGCAATCTCAGAATCTTCTTTGGGATATATGCACGCAGCTAACAGAGTTGAACCTTTCTATTGACAGAGCAGTTTTGAAACAGTCTTTCTGTGGAATCTGCAAGTGGATATTTGGATAGCTTGGAGGATTTTGTTGGAAACGGGATTACGTATAAAAAGTAGACAGCAGCATCCTCCGAAACTACTTTGTGATGTGTGCATTCAAGTCACAGAGTTGAACATTCCCTTTCGTACAGCAGTTTTGAAACACTCTTTCTGTAGTATCTGGAAGTGAACATTAGGACAGCTTTCAGCTCTATGGTGAGAAAGGAAATATCTTCAAATAAAAACTAGACAGAAGCATTCTCATAAACCTTTTTGTGATGTGTGAACTCAGCTAACAGAGGTGGATCTTTCTTTTGATAGAGCAGTTCTGAAAAACACTTTTTGTTGAATATGCAAGTGGATATTTGGATAGATTTGAAGATTTCGTTGGAAACGGGAATATCTTCATATCAAATCTAGACAGAAGCATTCTCAGAAACGTCTTTGTGATGTTTGCATTCAACTCATAGAGTTGAACATTCCGTTTCAGAGAGCAGCTTTGAGGCACTCTTTTTGTAGTATGTGCAAGTGGGTATTTGGAGCGCTCTGAGGCCTACGGTGAAAAAGCAAATATCTTCCCATAACCACTAGACAGATACATTCTCAGAAACTCCTTTATGACGTATGCACTCACCTAACAGAGAAGAACCTTCCTTTTGACAGAGCAGTTTTGATACACTCTTTTTGTAGAATCTCCAAGTGGATATTTGGATAGCTGTGAAGATTTCGTTGGAAACGGGAATATCTTCTTATGAAATCTAGACAGAAGCATTCTCAGAAACTGCTCTGTGATGTCTGCATTCAAGTCACAGAGTTGAACATTGCCTTTCATATAGCAGGTTTGAAACGCTCTTTTTGTAGTATATGGAAGTGGACTTTTCGGACGGTTTGAGGCCCATGGTGATAAAGGGAATATCTTCCCCTACAAGCTAGAAAGAAGCATTCTGTGAAACTTGTTTGTGATGTGTGTACTCAACTAACAGAGTTGAACCTTTCTTTTCACAGAGCAGTTTTGAAACACTCTTTTTGTAGAATCTGCGAGGGGAAATTTGGATAGATTTCAGGATTTCGTTGGAAACGGGAATATCTTCATACAAAATCTCGACAGAAGCATTCTCAGAAACTTCTTTGTGATATGTGCATTCAAGTCACAGAGTTGAATATTCCCTTTCACAGAGTAGGTTTGAAACACTCTTTTTGTACTATCTGGAAGTGGACATTTGGAGCGCCTTGACGCCTACGGTGAAAAGGGAAATATCTTCCCATAAAAACTAGACAGAAGCAATCTCAGAATCTTCTTTGGGATATATGCACGCAGCTAATAGAGTTGAACTTTTCTATTGACAGAGCAGATTTCAAACAGTGTTTCTGTGGAATCTGCAAGTGGATATTTGGATAGCCTGGAGGATTTCGTTGGAAACGGGATTACGTATAAAAAGTAGACAGCAGCATCCTCAGAAACTTCTTTGTGATGTGTGCATTCAAGTCACAGAGTTGAACATTCCCTTTCGTACAACAGTTTTGAAACACTCTTTCTGTAGTATCTGGAAGTGAACATTAGGACAGCTTTCAGCTCTATGATGAGAAAGGAAATATCTTCAAATAAAAACTAGACAGAAGCATTCTCATAAACTTGTTTGTGATGTGTGAACTCAGCTAACAGAGGTGGATCTTTCTTTTGATAGAGCAGTTCTGAAAAACACTTTTTGTTGAATCTGCAAGTGGACATTTGGATAGATTTGAAGATTTCGTTGGAAACGGGAATATCGTCATATCAAATCTAGACAGAAGCATTCTCAGAAACGTCTTTGCGATGTTTGCATTCAACTCATAGAGTTGAACATTCCGTTTCTGAGAGCAGCTTTGAGGCACTCTTTTTGTAGTATGTGCAAGTGGATATTTGGAGCGCTCTGAGGCCTACGGTGAAAAAGCAAATATCTTCCCATAACCACTAGACAGAAACATTCTCAGAAACTCCTTTATGACGTATGCACTCACCTAAGAGAGAAGAACCTTCCTTTTGACAGAGCAGTTTTGATACACTCTTTTTGTAGAATCTGCAAGTGGATATTTGGATAGCTGTGAAGATTTCGTTGGAAACGGGAATATCTTCTTATAAAATCTAGACAGAAGCATTCTCAGAAACTGCTATGTGATGTCTGCATTCAAGTCACAGAGTTGAACATTGCCTTTCCTAGAGCAGGTTTGAAACGCTCTTTTTTTAGTATATGGAAGTGGACGTTTCGGACGGTTTGAGGCCCATGGTGATAAAGGGAATATCTTCCCCTACAAGCTAGAAAGAAGCATTGTGTGAAAATTGTTTGTGATGTGTGTACTCAACTAACAGAGTTGAACCTTTCTTTTTACAGAGCAGTTTTGAAACACTCTTTTTGTAGAATCTGCGAGGGGATATTTGGATACATTTCAGGATTTCGTTGGAAACGGGAATATCTTCATATAAAATCTCGACAGAAGCATTCTCAGAAACTTCTTTGTGATATGTGCATTCAAGTCACAGAGTTGAATATTCCCTTTCACAGAGTAGGTTTGAAACACTCTTTTTGTAGTATCTGGAAGTGGACATTTGGAGCGCCTTGACGCCTACGGTGAAAAGGGAAATATCTTCCCATACAAACTAGACAGAAGCAATCTCAGAATCTTCTTTGGGATATATGCACGCAGCTAACGGAGTTGAACCTTTCTATTGACAGAGCAGTTTTGAAACAGTCTTTCTGTGGAATCTGCAAGTGGATATTTGGATAGCTTGGAGGATTTCGTTGGAAACGGGATTACGTATAAAAAGTAGACAGCAGCATCCTCAGAAACTTCTTTGTGATGTGTGCATTCAAGTCACAGAGTTGAACATTCCCTTTCGTACAGCAGTTTTGAAACACTCTTTCTGTAGTAACTGGAAGTAAACATTAGGACAGCTTTCAGGTCTATGGTGAGAAAGGAAATATCTTCAAATAAAAACTAGACAGAAGCATTCTCATAAACTTGTTTGTGATGTGTGAACTCATCTAACAGAGGTGGATCTTTCTTTTGATAGAGCAGTTCTGAAAAACACTTTTTGTTGAATCTGCAAGTGGACATTTGGATAGATTTGAAGATTTCGTTGGTAACGGGAATATCTTCATATCAAATCTAGACAGAAGCATTCTCAGAAACGTCTTTGTGATGTTTGAATTCAACTCATAGAGTTGAACATTCCGTTTCAGAGAGCAGCTTTGAAGCACTCTTTTTGTAGTATGTGCAAGGGGATATTTGGAGCGCTCTGAGGCCTACGGTGAAAAAGCAAATATCTTCCCATAACCACTAGACAGAAACATTCTCAGAAACTCCTTTATGACGTATGTACTCAACTAACAGAGAAGAACCTTCCTTTTGACAGAGCAGTTTTGATACACTCTTTTTGTAGAATCTGCAAGTGGATATTTGGATAGCTGTGAAGATTTCGTTGGAAACGGGAATATCTTCCTATAAAATCTAGACGGAAGCATTCTCAGAAACTGCTCTGTGATGTCTGCATTCAAGTCACAGAGTTGAACATTGCCTTTCATAGAGTAGGTTTGAAACGCTCTTTTTGTAGTATATGGAAGTGGACGTTTCGGACGGTTTGAGGCCCATGGTGATAAAGGGAATATCTTCCCCTACAAGCTAGAAAGAAGCATTCTGTGAAACTTGTTTGTGATGTGTGTACTCAACTAACAGAGTTGAACCTTTCTTTTTACAGAGCAGTTTTGAAACACTCTTTCTGTAGAATCTGCGAGGGGATATTTGGATACATTTCAGGATTTCGTTGGAAACGGGAATATCTTCATAGAAAATCTCGACAGAAGCATTCTCAGAAACTTCTTTGTGATATCTGCATTCAAGTCACAGAGTTGAATATTCCCTTTCACAGAGTAGGTTTGAAACACTCTTTTTGTAGTATCTGGAAGTGGACATTTGGAGCGCCTTGACACCTACGGTGAAAAGGGAAATATTTTCCCATAAAAACTAGACAGAAGCAATCTCAGAATCTTCTTTGGGATATATGCACGCAGCTAACAGAGTTGAACCTTTCTATTGACAGAGCAGTTTTGAAACAGTCTTTCTGTGGAATCTGCAAGTGGATATTTTGATAGATTGGAGGATTTCGTTGGAAACGGGATTACGTATAAAAAGTAGACAGCAGCATCCTCAGAAACTTCTTTGTGATGTGTGCATTCAAGTCACAGAGTTGAACATTCCCTTTCATACAGCAGTTTTGAAACACTCTTTCTGTAGTATCTGGAAGTGAACATTAGGACAGCTTTCAGCTCTATGGTGAGAAAGGAAATATCTTCAAATAAAAACTAGACAGAAGCATTCTCATCAACTTGTTTGTGATGTGTGAACTCAGCTAACAGAGGTGGATCTTTCTTTTGATAGAGCAGTTTTGAAAAACACTTTTTGTTGAATCTGCAAGTGGACATTTGGATAGATATGAAGATTTCGTTGGAAACGGGAATATCTTCATATCAAATCTAGACAGAAGCATTCTCAGAAACGTCTTTGTGATGTTTGCATTCAACTCATAGAGTTGAACATTCCCTTTCAGAGAGCAGCTTTGAAGCTCTCTTTTTGTAGTATGTGCAAGGGTATATTTGGAGCTCTCTGAGGCCTAAGGTGAAAAAGCAAATATCTTCCCATAACCACTAGACAGAAACATTCTCAGAAACTCCTTTATGACGTATGCACTCACCTAACAGAAAAGAACCTTCCTTTTGACAGAGCAGTTTTGATACACTCTTTTTGTAGAATCTGCAAGTGGATATTTGGATAGCTGTGAAGATTTCATTGGAAACGGGAATATCTTCCTATAAAATCTAGACAGAAGCATTCTCAGAAACTGCTCTGTGATGTCTGCATTCAAGTCACAGAGTTGAACATTGCCTTTCATAGAGCAGGTTTGAAACGCTCTTTTTGTAGTATATGGAAGTGGATGTTTCGGACGGTTGGAGGCCCATGGTGATAAAGGGAATATCTTCCCCTACAAGTCTAGAAAGAAGCATTGTGTGAAACTTGTTTGTGATGTGTGTACTCAACTAACAGATTTGAACCTTTCTTTTTACAGAGCAGTTTTGAAACACTCTTTTTGTAGAATCTGCGAGGGGATATTTGGATAGATTTCAGGATTTCGTTGGAAACGGGAATATCTTCATATAAAATCTCGACAGAAGCATTCTCAGAAAACTTCTTTGTGATATGTGCATTCAAGTCACAGAGTTGAATATTCCCTTTCACAGAGTAGGTTTGAAACACTCTTTTTGTAGTATCTGGAAGTGGACATTTGGAGCGCCTTGACACCTACGGTGAAAAGGGAAATATCTTCCCATAAAAACTAGACAGAAGCAATCTCAGAATCTTCTTTGGGATATATGCACGCAGCTAACAGAGTTGAATCTTTCTGTTGACAGAGCAGATTTGAAACAGTCTTTCTGTGGAATCTGCAAGTGGATATTTGGATAGATTGGAGGATTTCATTGGAAACGGGATTACGTATAAAAAGTAGACAGCAGAATCCTCAGAAACTTCTTTGTGATGTGTGCATTCAAGTCACAGGGTTGAACATTCCCTTTCGTACAGCAGTTTTGAAACACTCTTTCTGTAGTATCTGGAAGTGAACATTAGGACAGCTTTCAGGTCTATGGTGAGAAAGGAAATATCTTCAAATAAAAACTAGACAGAAGCATTCTCATAAACTTGTTTGTGATGTGTGGACTCAGCTAACAGAGGCGGATCTTTCTTTTGATAGAGCAGTTCGGGAAAACACTTTTTGTTGAATCTGCAAGTGGACATTTGGATAGATTTGAAGATTTCGTTGGAAACGGGAATATCTTCATATCAAATCTAGACAGAAGCATTCTCAGAAACGTCTTTGTGATGTTTGCATTCAACTCATAGAGTTGAACATTCCCTTTCAGAGAGCAGCTTTGAAGCACTCTTTTTGTAGCATGTGCAAGTGGACATTTGGAGCGCCCTGAGGCCTACGGTGAAAAAGCAAATATCTTCCCATAACCACTAGACAGAAACATTCTCAGAAACTCCTTTATGACGTATGCACTCACCTAACAGAGAAGAACCTACCTTTTGACAGAGCAGTTTTGATACACTCTTTTTGTAGAATCTGCGAGGGGATATTTGGAGAGATTTCAGGATTTCGTTGGAAACGGGAATATCTTCATATAAAATCTCGACAGAAGCATTCTCAGAAACTGCTCTGTGATGTCTGCATTCAAGTCACAGAGTTGAACATTGCCTTTCATAGAGTAGGTTTGAAACGCTTTTTTGTAGTATATGGAAGTGGATGTTTCGGACGGTTGGAGGCCCATGGTGATAAAGGGAATATCTTCCCCTACAAGCTAGAAAGAAGCATTCTGTGAAACTTGTTTGTGATGTGTGTACTCAACTAACAGAGTTGATCCTTTCTTTTTACAGAGCAGTTTTGAAACACTCTTTTTGTAGAATCTGCGAGGGGATATTTGGATAGATTTCAGGATTTCGTTGGAAACGGGAATATCTTCATATAAAATCTCGACAGAAGCATTCTCAGAAACTTCTTTGTGATATGTGCATTCAAGTCACAGAGTTGAATATTCCCTTTCACAGAGTAGGTTTGAAACACTCTTTTTGTCGTATCTAGAAGTGGACATTTGGAGTGCATTGACGCCTACGGTGAAAAGGGAAATATCTTCCCATAAAAACTAGACAGAAGCAATCTCAGAATCTTCTTTGGGATATATGCACGCAGCTAACAGAGTTGAACCTTTCTATTGACAGAGCAGTTTTGAAACAGTCTTTCTGTGGAATCTGCAAGTGGATATTTGATAGCTTGGAGGATTTCGTTGGAAACGGGATTACGTATAAAAAGTAGACAGCAGCATCCTCAGAAACTACTTTGTGATGTGTGCATTCAAGTCACAGAGTTGAAAATTCCCTTTCGTACAGCAGTTTTGAAACACTCTTTCTGTAGTATCTGGAAGTGAACATTAGGACAGCTTTCAGGTCTATAGTGAGAAAGGATATATCTTCAAATAAAAACTAGACAGAAGCATTCTCATAAACTTGTTCGTAATGTGTGAACTCAGCTAACACACGTGGATCTTTCTTTTGATAGAGCAGTTCTGAAAAACACTTTTTGTTGAATCTGCAAGTGGACATTTGGATAGATTTGAAGATTTCGTTGGAAACGGGAATATCCTTCATATCAAATCTAGACAGAAAGCATTCTCAGAAACGTCTTTGTGATGTTTGCATTCAACTCATAGAGTTGAACATTCCGTTTCAGAGACCAGCTTTGAAGCACTCTTTTTGTAGTATGTGCAAGTGGATATTTGGAGCGCTCTGAGGCCTACGGTGTAAAAGCAAATATCTTCCCATAACCACTAGACAGAAACATTCTCAGAAACTCCTTTATGACGTATGTACTCAACTAACAGAGAAGAACCTTCCTTTTGACAGAGCAGTTTTGATACACTCTTTTTGTGGAATCTGCAAGTGGATATTTGGATAGCTGTGAAGATTTCGTTGGAAACGGGAATATCTTCCTATAAAATCTAGACAGAAGCATTCTCAGAAACTGCTCTGTGATGTCTGCATTCAAGTCACAGAGTTGAACATTGCCTTTCATAGAGCAGGTTTGAAACGCTCTTTTTGTAGTATATGGAAGTAGTCGTTTCGGACGGTTTGAGGCCCATGGTGATAAAGGGAATATCTTCCCCTACAAGCTAGAAAGAAGCATTCTGTGAAACTTGTTTGTGATGTGTGTACTCAACTAACAGAGTTGAACCTTTCTTTTTACAGAGCAGTTTTGAAACACTCTTTTTGTAGAATCTGCGAGGGGATATTTGGATAGATTTTAGGATTTCGTTGGAAACGGGAATATCTTCATATAAAATCTCGACAGAAGCATTCTCAGAAACTTCTTTGTGATATCTGCATTCAAGTCACAGAGTTGAATATTCCCTTTCACAGAGTAGGTTTGAAACACTCTTTGTGGTATCTGGAAGTGGACATTTGGAGCGCCTTGACGCCTACGGTGAAAAGGGAAATATCTTCCCATAAAAACTAGACAGAAGTAATCTCAGAATCTTCTTTGGGATATATGCACGCAGCTAACAGAGTTGAACCTTTCTATTGACAGAGCAGTTTTGAAACAGTCTTTCTGTGGAATCTGCAAGTGGATATTTGGATAGCTTGGAGGATTTCGTTGGAAACGGGATTACGTATAAAAAGTGGACAGCAGCATCCTCAGAAACTTCTTTGTGATGTGTGCATTCAAGTCACAGGAGTTGAACATTCCCTTTCGTACAGCAGTTTTGAAACACTCTTTCTGTAGTATCTGGAAGTGAACATTACGACAGCTTTCAGGTCTATGGTGAGAAAGGAAATATCTTCAAATAAAAACTAGACAGAAGCATTCTCATAAACCTGTTTGTGATGTGGGAACTCAGCTAACAGAGGTGGATCTTTCTTTTGATAGAGCAGTTCTGAAAAACACTTTTTGTTGAATCTGCAAGTGGACATTTGGATAGATTTGAAGATTTCGTTGGAAACGGGAATATCTTCATATCAAATCTAGACAGAAGCATTCTCAGAAAACGTCTTTGCGATGTTTGCATTCAACTCATAGAGTTGAACATTCCGTTTCAGAGAGCAGCTTTGAGGCACTCTTTTTGTAGTATGTGCAAGTGGATATTTGGAGCGCTCTGAGGCCTACGGTGAAAAAGCAAATATCTTCCCATAACCACAAGACAGAAACATTCTCAGAAACTCCTTTATGACGTATGCACTCACCTAACAGAAAAGAACCTTCCTTTTGACAGAGCAGTTTTGATACACTCTTTTTGTAGAATCTGCAAGTGGATATTAGGATAGCTGTGAAGATTTCGTTGGAAACGGGAATATCTTCCTATAAAATCTAGACAGAAGCATTCTCAGAAGCTGCTCTGTGATGTCTGCATTCAAGTCACAGAGTTGAACATTGCCTTTCATGGAGCAGGTTTGAAACGCTCTTTTTGTACTATATGGAAGTGGACGTTTCGGACGGTTTGAGGCCCATGGTGATAAAGGGAATATCTTCCCCTACAAGCTAGAAAGAAGCATTCTGTGAAACTTGTTTGTGATGTGTGTACTCAACTAACAGAGTTGAACCTTTCTTTTTACAGAGCAGTTTTGAAACACTCGTTTTGTAGAATCTGCGAGGGGATATTTGGATAGATTTCAGGATTTCGTTGGAAACGGGAATATCTTCATATAAAATCTCGACAGAAGCATTCTCAGAAACTTCTTTGTGATATCTGCATTCAAGTCACAGAGTTGAATATTCCCTTTCACAGAGTAGGATTGGAACACTCTTTTGTAGTATCTGGAAGTGGACATTTGGAGCGCCTTGACGCCTACGGTGAAAACGGAAATATCTTCCCATAAAAACTAGACAGAAGCAATCTCAGAATCTTCTTTGGGATATATGCACGCAGTTAACAGAGTTGAACCTTTCTATTGACAGAGCAGTTTTGAAACAGTCTTTCTGTGGAATCTCCAATTGGATATTTGGATAGCTTGGAGGATTTCGTTGGAAACGGGATTACGTATAAAAAGTAGACAGCAGCATCCTCAGAAACTTCTTTGGGATGTGTGCATTCAAGTCACAGAGTTGAACATTCCCTTTCGTACAGCAGTTTTGAAACACTCTTTCTGTAGTATCTGGAAGTGAACATTAGGACAGCTTTCCGGTCTATGGTGAGAAAGGAAATATCTTCAAATAAAAACTAGACAGAAGCATTCTCATAAGCTTGTTTGTGATGTGTGAACTCAGCTAACAGAGGTGGATCTTTCTTTTGATAGAGCAGTTCTGAAAAACACTTTTTGTTGAATCTGCAAGTGGACATTTGGATAGATTTGAAGATTTCGTTGGAAACGGGAATATCTTCATATCAAATCTAGACAGAAGCATTCTCAGAAACGTCTTTGTCATGTTTGCATTCAACTCATAGAGTTGAACATTCCGTTTCAGAGAGGAGGTTTGAAGCACTCTTTTTGTAGTATGTGCAAGTGGATATTTGGAGCGCTCTGAGGCCTACGGTGAAAAAGCAAATATCTTCCCATAACCACTAGACAGAAACATTCTCAGAAACTCCTTAATGACGTATGCACTCACCTAACAGAGAAGAACCTTCCTTTTGACAGAGCAGTTTTGATACACTCTTTTTGTAGAATCTGCAAGTGGATATTTGGATAGCTGTGAAGATTTCGTTGGAAACGGGAATATCTTCCTATAAAATCTAGACAGAAGCATTCTCAGAAACTGCTCTGTGATGTCTGCATTCAAGTCACAGAGTTGAACATTGCCTTTCATAGAGCAGGTTTCAAACACTCTTTTTTTAGTATATGGAAGTGGACGATTCGGACGGTTTGAGGACCATGGTGATAAAGGAAATATCTTCCCCTACAAGCTAGAAAGAAGCATTCTGTGAAACTTGTTTGTGATGTGTGTACTCAACTAACAGTAGTTGAACCTTTCTTTTTACAGAGCAGTTTTGAAACACTCTTTTTGTAGAATCTGCGAGGGGATATTTGGATAGATTTCAGGATTTCGTTGGAAACGGGAATATCTTTATATAAAATCTCGACAGAAGCATTCTCAGAAACTTCTTTGTGATATCTGCATTCAAGTCACAGAGTTGAATATTCCCTTTCACAGAGTAGGTTTGAAACACTCTTTTTGTAGTATCTGGAAGTGGACATTTGGAGCGCCTTGACTGCTACGGAGAAAAGGGAAATATCTTCCCTAAAAAACTAGACAGAAGCAATCTCAGAATCTTCTTTGGGATATATGCACGCAGCTAACAGAGTTGAACCTTTCTATTGACAGAGCAGTTTTGAAACAGTCTTTCTGTGGAATCTGCAAGTGGATATTTGGATAGCTTGGAGGATTTCGTTGGAAAAGGGATTACGTATAAAAAGTAGACAGCAGCATCCTCAGAAACTTCTTTGTGATGTGTGCATTCAAGTCACAGAGTTGAACATTTCCTTTCGTACAGCAGTTTTGAAACACTCTTTCTGTAGTATCTGGAAGTGAACATTAGGACAGCTTTCAGGTCTATGGTGAGAAAGGAAATATCTTCAAATAAAAACTATACAGAAGCATTTTCATAAACTTGTTTGTGATGTGTGAACTCAGCTAACAGAGGTGGATCTTTCTTTTGATAGAGCAGTTCTGAAAAACACGTTTTGTTGAATCTGCAAGTGGACATTTGGATAGATTTGAAGATTTCGTTGGAAACGGGAATATCTTCATATCAAATCTAGACAGAAGCATTCTCAGAAACGTCTTTGTGATGTTTGCATTCAACTCATAGAGTTGAACATTCCCTTTCAGAGAGCAGCTTTGAAGCACTCATTTTGTAGTATGTGCAAGTGGACATTAGGAGCACTTTGAGGCCTACGGTGAAAAAGCAAATATCTTCCCATAACCACTAGACAGAAACCTTCTCAGAAACTTCTTTATGACGTATGTACTCAACTAACAGAGAAGAACCTTCCTTTTGACAGAGCAGTTTTGATACACTCTTCTTGTAGAATCTGCAAGTAGATATTTGGATATCTGTGAAGAATTCGTTGGAAAAGGGAATATCTTTCTATAAAATCTAAACAAAAGCATTCTCAGAAACTGCTCTGTGATGTCTGCATTCAAGTCACAGAGTTGAACATTGCCTTTCATAGAGCAGGTTTGAATCGCTCTTTTTGTAGTATATGGAAGTGGACGTTTCAGACGGTTTGAGGCCCATGGTGATAAAGGGAATATCTTCCCCTACAAGCTAGAAAGAAGCATTCTGTGAAACTTGTTTGTGATGTGTGTACTCAACTAACAGAGTTGAACCTTTCTTTTTACAGAGCAGTTTTGGAACACTCTTTTTGTAGAATCTGCGAGGGGATATTTAGATAGATTTCAGGATTTCGTTGGAAACGGGAATATCTTCATATAAAATCTCGACAGAAGCATTCTCAGAAACTTCTTTGTGATATGTGCATTCAAGTCACAGAGTTGAATATTCCCTTTCACAGGAGTAGGTTTGAAACACTCTTTTTGTAGTATCTGGAAGTGGACATTTGGAGCGCCTTGACGCCTACGGTGAAAAGGGAAATATCTTCCCATAAAAACTAGACAGAAGCAATCTCAGAATCTTCTTTGGGATATATGCACGCAGCTAACAGAGTTGAACCTTTCTATTGACAGAGCAGTTTTGAAACAGTCTTTCTGTGGAATCTGCAAGTGGATATTTAGATAGCTTGGAGGATTTCGTTGGAAACGGGATTACGTATAAAAAGTAGACAGCAGCATCCTCAGAAACTTCCTTGTGATGTGTGCATTCAAGTCACAGAGTTGAACATTCCCTTTCGTACAGCAGTTTTGAAACACTCTTTCTGTAGTATCTGGAAGTGAACATTAGGACAGGTTTCAGGTCTATGGTGAGAAAGGAAATATCTTCAAATAAAAACTAGACAGAAGCATTCTCATAAACTTGTTTGTGATGTGTGAACTCAGCTAACAGAGGTGGATCTTTCTTTTGATAGAGCAGTTCTGAAAAACACTTTTTGTTGAATCTGCAAGTGGACATTTGGATAGATTTGAAGATTTCGTTGGAAACGGGAATATCTTCATATCAAATATAGACAGAAGCATTCCCAGAAACGTCTTTTTGATGTTTGCATTCAACTCATAGAGTTGAACATTCTCTTTCAGAGAGCAGCTTTGAAGCACTCTTTTTGTAGTATGTGCAAGGGGATATTTGGAGCGCTCTGAGGCCTAAGGTGAAAAAGCAAATATCTTCCCATAACCACTAGACAGAAACATTCTCAGAAACTACTTTATGACGTATGTACTCAACTAACAGAGAAGAACCTTCCTTTTGACAGAGCAGTTTTGATACACTCTTTTTGTAGAATCTGCAAGTGGATATTTGGATAGCTGTGAAGATTTCGTTGGAAACGGGAATACCTTCCTATAAAATCTAGACAGAAGCATTCTCAGAAACTGCTCTGTGATGTCTGTATTCAAGTCACAGAGTTGAACATTGCCTTTCATAGAGCAGGTTTGAAACGCTCTTTTTGTAGTATACGGAAGTGGATGTTTCGGACGGTTGGAGGCCCATGGTGATAAAGGGAATATCTTCCCCTACAAGCTAGAAAGAAGCATTCTGTGAAACTTGTTTGTGATGTGTGTACTCAACTAACAGAGTTGAACCTTTCTTTTTACAGAGCAGTTTTGAAACACTCTTTTTGTAGAATCTGCGAGGGGATATTTGGATAGATTTCAGGATTTCTTTGGAAACGGGAATATCTTCATATAAAATCTCGACAGAAGCATTCTCAGAAACTTCTTTGTGATATCTGCATTCAAGTCACAGAGTTGAATATTCCCTTTCACAGAGTAGGATTGAAACACTCTTTTTGTAGTATCTGGAAGAGGACATTTGGAGCACCTTGACGCCTGCGGTGAAAAGGGAAATATCTTCCCATAAAAACTAGACAGAAGCAATCTCAGAATCTTCTTTGGGATATATGCACGCAGCTAACAGAGTTGTACCTTTCTATTGACAGAGCAGTTTTGAAACAGTCTTTCTGTGGAATCTGCAAGTGGATATTTGGATAGCTTGGAGGATTTCATTGGAAACGGGATTACATATAAAAAGTAGACAGCAGCATCCTCAGAAACTTCTTTGTGATGTGTGCATTCAAGTCACAGGGTTGAACATTTCCTTTCATACAGCAGTTTTGAAACACTCTTTCTGTAGTATCTGGAAGTGAACATTAGGACAGCTTTCAGGTCTATGGTGAGAAAGGAAATATCTTCAAATAAAAACTAGACACAAGCATTCTCATAAACTTGTTTGTGATGTGTGAACTCAGCTAACAGAGGTGGATCTTTCTTTTGATAGAGCAGTTCTGAAAAACACTTTTTGTTGATTATGCAAGTGGACATTTGGATAGATTTGAAGATTTCGTTGGAAACGGGAATATCTTCATATCAAATCTAGACAGAAGCATTCTCAGAAACGTCGTTGTGATGTTTGCATTCAACTCATAGAGTTGAACATTCCGTTTCAGAGAGCAGCTTTGAGGTACTCTTTTTGTAGTATGTGCAAGTGGATATTTGGAGCGCTCTGAGGCCTACGGTGAAAAAGCAAATATCTTCCCATAACCACTAGACAGAAACATTCTCAGAAACTCCTTTATGACGTATGCACTCACCTAACAGAGAAGAACCTTCCTTTTGACAGTGCAGTTTTGATACACTCTTTTTGTAGAATCTGCAAGTGGTTATTTGGATAGCTGCGAAGATTTCCTTGGAAACGGGAATATCTTCCTATAAAATCTAGACAGAAGCATTCTCAGAAACTGCTCTATGATGTCTGCATTCAAGTCACAGAGTTGAACATTGCCTTTCATGGAGCAGGTTTGAAACGCTCTTTTTGTAGTATATGGAAGTGGACGTTTCGGACGGTTTGAGGCCCATGGTGATAAAGGGAATATCTTCCCCTACGAGCTAGAAAGAAGCATTCTGTGAAACTTGTTTGTGATGTGTGTACTCAACTAACAGAGTTGAACCTTTCTTTTTACAGAGCAGTTTTGAAACACTCTTTTTGTAGAATCTGCGAGGGGAAGTTTGGATAGATTTCAGGATTTCGTTGGAAACGGGAATATCTTCATATAAAATCTCGACAGAAAGCATTCTCAGAAACTTCTTTGTGATATCTGCATTCAAGTCACAGAGTTGAATATTCCCTTTCACAGAGTAGGTTTGAAACACTCTTTTTGTAGTATCTGGAAGTGGACATTTGGAGCGCCTTGACGCCTACGGTGAAAAGGGAAATATCTTCTCATAAAAACTAGACAGAGCAATCTCAGAATCGTCTTTGGGATATATGCACGCAGCTAACAGAGTTGAACCTTTCTATAGACAGAGCAGTTTTGAAACAGTCTTTCTGTGGAATCTGCAAGTGGATATTTGGATAGCTTGGAGGATTTCGTTGGAAACGGGATTACGTATAAAAAGTAGACAGCAGCATCCTCAGAAACTTCTTTGTGATGTGTGCATTCAAGTCACAGAGTTGAACATTCCCTTTCGTACAGCAGTTTTGAAACACTCTTTCTGTAGTATCTGGAAGTGAACATTAGTACAGCTTTCAGGTCTATGGTGAGAAACGAAATATCTTCAAATAAAAACTAGACAGAAGCATTCTCATAAACTTGTTTGTGATGTGCGAACTCAGCTAAGAGAGGTGGATCTTTCTTTTGATAGAGCAGTTCTGAAAAACACTTTTTGTTGAATCTGCAAGTGGACATTTGGATAGATTTGAAGATTTCGTTGGAAACGGGAATATCTTCATATCAAATCTAGACAGAAGCATTCTCAGAAACGTCTTTGTGATGTTTGCATTCAACTCATAGAGTTGAACATTCCGTTTCAGAGAGCAGCTTTGAAGCACTCTTTTTGTAGTATGTGCAACTGGATATTTGGAGCGCTCTGAGGCCTACGGGGAAAAAGCAAATATCTTCCCATAACCACTAGACAGAAACATTCTCAGAAACTTCTTTATGACGTATGTACTCAACTAGCAGAGAAGAACTTTCCTTTTGACAGAGCACTTTTGATACACTCTTTTTGTAGTATCTGCAAGTGGATATTTGGATAGCTGTGAAGATTTCGTTTTAAACGGGAATATCTTCCTATAAAGTCTGGAGAGAAGCATTCTCAGAAACTGCTCTGTGATGTCTGCATTCAAGTCACAGAGTTGAACATTGCCTTTCCTAGAGCAGGTTTGAAACGCTCTTTTTGTAGTATATGGAAGTGGACGTTTCGGACGGTTTGAGGCCCATGGTGATAAAGGGAATATCTTCCCCTAAAAGCTAGAAAGAAGCATTCTGTGAAACTTGTTTGTGATGTGTGTAGTCAACTAACAGAGTTGAACCTTTCTTTTTACAGAGCAGTTTTGAAACACTCTTTTTGTAGAATCTGTGAGGGGATATTTGGATAGATTTCAGGATTTCGTTGGAAACGTGAATATCTTCATATAAAATCTCGACAGAAGCATTCTCAGAAACTTCTTTGTGATATGTGCATTCAAGTCACAGAGTTGAATATTCCCTTTCACAGAGTAGGTTTGAAACACTCTTTTTGTAGTATCTGGAAGTGGACATTTGGAGCGCATTGACGCCTACGGTGAAAAGGGAAATATCTTCCCATAAAACCTAGACAGAAGCAATCTCAGAATCTTCTTTGGGATATATGCACGCAGCTAACGGAGTTGAATCTTTCTATTGACAGAGCAGTTTTGAAACAGTCTTTCTGTGGAATCTGCAAGTGGATATTTGGATAGCTTGGAGGATTTCGTTGGAAACGGGATTACGTATAAAAAGTAGACAGCAGCATCCTCCGAAACTTCTTTGTGATGTGTGCATTCAAGTCACAGAGTAGAACATTCCCTTTCGTACAGCAGTTTTGAAACACTCTTTCTGTAGTATCTGGAAGTGAACATTAGGACAGCTTTCAGCTCTATGGTGAGAAAGGAAATATCTTCAAATAAAAACTAGACAGAAGCATTCTCATAAACTTGTTTGTGATGTGTGAACTCAGCTAACAGAGGTGGGACTTTCTTTTGATAGAGCAGTTCTGAAAAACACTTTTTGTTGAATCTGCAAGTGGACATTTGGATAGATTTGAAGATTTCGTTGGAAACGGGAATATCTTCATATCAAATCTAGACAGAAGCATTCTCAGAAACGTCGTTGTGATGTTAGCATTCAACTCATAGAGTTGAACATTCCCTTTCAGAGAGCAGCTTTGAAGCACTCTTTTTGTAGTATGTGCAAGTGGACATTTGGAGCGCTTTGAGGCCTACGGGGAAAAAGCAAATATCTTCCCATAACCACTAGACAGGAACATTCTCAGAAACTTCTTTATGACGCATGTACTCAACTAGCAGAGAAGAACTTTCCTTTTGACAGAGCATTTTTGATACATTCTTTTTCTAGTATCTGCAAGTGGATATTTGGATAGCTGTGAAGATTTCGTTGGAAACGGGAATATCTTCCTATAAAGTCTGGACAGAAGCATTCTCAGAAACTGCTCTGTGATGTCTGCATTCAAGTCACAGAGTTGAACATTGCCTTTCATAGAGCAGGTTTGAAACGCTCTTTTTGTAGTATATGGAAGAGGACGTTTTGAACGGTTTGAGGACCATGGTGATAAAGGGAATATCTTCCCCTACAAGCTAGAAAGAAGCATTCTGTGAAACTTGTTTGTGATGTTTGTACTCAACTAACAGAGTTGAACCTTTCTTTTTACAGAGCAGTTTTGAAACACTCTTTTTGTAGAATCTGCGAGGGGATATTTGGATAGATTTCAGGATTTCGTTGGAAACGGGAATATCTTCATATAAAATCTCGACAGAAGCATTCTCAGAAACTTCTTTGTGATATGTGCATTCAAGTCACAGAGTTGAATATTCCCTTTCACAGAGTAGGTTTGAAACACTCTTTTTGTAGTATCTGGAAGTGGACATTTGGAGTGCCTTGACACCTACTGTGAAAAGGGAAATATCTTCCCATAAAAACTAGACAGAAGCAATCTCAGAATCTTCTTTGGGATATATGCACGCAGCTAACAGAGTTGAACCTTTCTATTGACAGAGCAGTTTTGAAACAGTCTTTCTGTGGAATCTGCAAGTGGATATTTGGATAGCTTGGAGGATTTCGTTGGAAACGGGATTATGTATAAAAAGTAGACAGCAGCATACTCAGAAACTTCTTTGTGATGTGTGCATTCAAGTCACAGAGTTGAACATTCCCTTTCGTACAGCAGTTTTGAAACACTCTTTCTGTAGTATCTGGAAGTGAACATTAGGACAGCTTTCAGGTCTATGCTGAGAAAGGAAATATCTTCAAATAAAAACTAGACAGAAGCATTCTCATAAACTTCTTTGTGATGTGTGAACTCAGCTAACCGAGGTGGATCTTTCTTTTGATAGAGCAGTTCTGAAAAACACTTTTTGTTGAATCTGCAAGTGGACATTTGGATAGATTTGAAGATTTCGTTGGAAACGGGAATAACTTCATTTCAAATCTAGACAGAAGCATTCTCAGAAACGTCTTTGTGATGTTTGCATTTAACTCATAGAGTTGAACATTCCCTTTCAGAGACCAGCTTTGAAGCACTCTTTTTGTAGCATGTGCAAGTGGACATTTGGAGCGCCCTGAGGCCTACGGGGAAAAAGCAAATATCTTCCCATAACCACTAGACAGAAACATTCTCAGAAACTTCCTTTATGACGTATGCACTCACCTAACAGAAAAGAACCTTCCTTTTGACAGAGCAGTTTTGATACACTCTTTTTGTAGAATCTGCAAGTGGATATTTGGATAGCTGTGAAGATTTCGTTGGAAACGGGAATATCTTCCTATAAAATCTAGACAGAAGCATTCTCAGAAACTGCTCTGTGATGTCTGCATTCAAGTCACAGAGTTGAACATTGCCTTTCATAGAGCAGGTTTGAAGCGCTCTTTTTGTAGTATATGGAAGTGGATGTTTCGGACGGTTGGAGGCCCATGGTGATAAAGGGAATATCTTCCCCTACAAGCTAGAAAGAAGCATTCTGTGAAACTTGTTTGTGATGTGTGTACTCAACTAACAGAGTTGAACCTTTCTTTTTACAGAGCAGTTTTGAAACACTCTTTTTGTAGAATCTGCGAGGGGATATTTGGATAGATTTCAGGATTTCGTTGGAAACGGGAATATCTTCATATAAAATCTCGACCGAAAGCATTCTCAGAAACTTCTTTGTGATATCTGCATTCAAGTCACAGAGTTGAATATTCCCTTTCACAGAGTAGGTTTGAAACACTCTTTTTGTAGTATCTGGAAGTGGACATTTGGAGCGCCTTGACACCTACGGTGAAAAGGGAAATATCTTCCCATAAAAACTAGACAGAGCAATCTCAGAATCTTCTTTGGGATATATGCACGCAGCTAACAGAGTTGAACCTTTCTATTGACAGAGCAGTTTTGAAACAGTCTTTCTGTGGAATCTGCAAGTGGATATTTGGAGAGCTTGGAGTATTTCGTTGGAAACGGGATTAAGTATAAAAAGTAGACAGCAGCATCCTCAGAAACTTCTTTGTGATGTGTGCATTCAAGTCACAGAGTTGAACATTTCCTTTCGTACAGCAGTTTTGAAACACTCTTTCTGTAGTAACTGGAAGTGAACATTAGGACAGCTTTCAGGTCTATGGTGAGAAAGGAAATATCTTCAAATAAAAACTAGACAGAAGCATTCTCATAAACTTGTTTGTGATGTGTGAACTCAGCTAACAGAGGCGGATCTTTCTTTTGATAGAGCAGTTCGGAAAAACACTTTTTGTTGAATCTGCAAGTGGACATTTGGATAGATTTGAAGATTTCGTTGGAAACGGGAATATCTTCATATCTAATCTAGACAGAAGCATTCTCAGAAACGTCTTTGTGATGTTTGCATTCAACTCATAGAGTTGAACATTCCGTTTCAGAGAGCAGCTTTGAGGCACTCTTTTTGTAGTATGTGCAAGTGGATATTTGGAGCACTCTGAGGCCTACGGTGAAAAAGCAAATATCTTCGAATAACCACTAGACAGAAACATTCTCAGAAACTCCTTTATGACGTATGCACTCACCTAACAGAGAAGAACCTTCCTTTTGACAGAGCAGTTTTGATACACGCTTTTTGTAGAATCTGCAAGTGGATATTTGGATAGCTGTGAAGATTTTGTTGGAAACGGGAATATCTTCCTATAAAATCTAGACAGAAGCATTGTCAGAAACTGCTCTGTGATGTCTGCATTCAAGTCACAGAGTTGAACATTGCCTTTCATAGAGCAGGTTTGAAACGCTCTTTTTGTAGTATATGGAAGTAGACGTTTCGGACGGTTTGAGGCCCATGGTGATAAAGGGAATATCTTCCCCTACAAGCTAGAAAGAAGCATTCTGTGAAACTTGTTTGTGATGTGTGTACTCAACTAACAGAGTTGAACCTTTCTTTTTACAGAGCAGTTTTGAAACACTCTTTTTGTAGAATCTGCGAGGGGATATTTGGATAGATTTCAGGATTTGGTTGGAAACTGGAATATCTTCATATAAAATACTCGACAGAAGCATTCTCAGAAACTTCTTTGTGATATGTGCATTCAAGTCACAGAGTTGAATATTCCCTTTCACAGAGTAGGTTTGAAACACTCTTTTTGTAGCATCTGGAAGTGGACATTTGGAGCGCCTTGACGCCTACGGTGAAAAGGGAAATATCTTCCCATAAAAACTAGACAGAAGCAATCTCAGAATCTTCTTTGGGATATATGCATGCAGCTAACAGAGTTGAACCTTTCTATTGACAGAGCAGTTTTGAAACAGTCTTTCTGTGGAATCTGCCAGTGGATATTTGGATAGCTTGGAGGATTTCGTTGGAAACGGGATTACGTATAAAAAGTAGACAGCAGCATCCTCAGAAACTTCTTTGTGATGTGTGCATTCAAGTCACAGTAGTTGAACATTCCCTTTCGTACAGCAGTTTTGAAACACTCTTTCTGTAGTATCTGGAAGTGAACATTAGGACAGCTTTCAGCTCTATGGTGAGAAAGGAAATATCTTCAAATAAAAACTAGACAGAAGCATTCTCATAAACTTGTTTGTGATGTGTGAACTCAGCTAACAGAGGTGGATCTTTCTTTTGATAGAGCAGTTCTGAAAAACACTTTTTGTTGAATCTGCAAGTGGACATTTGGATACATTTGAAGATTTCGTTGGAAACGGGAATATCTTCATATCAAATCTAGACAGAAGCATTCTCAGAAACGTCTTTCTGATGTTTGCATTCAACCCATAGAGTTGAACATTCCGTTTCAGAGAGCAGCTTTGAAGCGCTCTTTTTGTAGTATGTGCAAGGGGATATTTTGAGCGCTCTGAGGCCTAAGGTGAAAAAGCAAGTATCTTCCCATAACCACTAGACAGAAACATTTTCAGAAACTCCTTTATGACGTATGCACTCACCTAACAGAGAAGAACCTTCCTTTTGACAGAGCAGTTTTGATACACTCTTTTTGTAGAATCTGCAAGTGGATATTTGGATAGCTGTGAAGATTTCGTTGGAAACCGGAATATCTTCCTATAAAATCTAGACAGAAGCATTCTCAGAAACTGCTCTATGATGTCTGCATTCAAGTCACAGAGTTGAACATTGCCTTTCATGGAGCAGGTTTGAAACGCTCTTTTTGTAGTATATGGAAGTGGACGTTTCGGACGGTTTGAGGCACATGGTGATAAAGGGAATATCTTCCCCTACGAGCTAGAAAGAAGCATTCTGTGAAACTTGTTTGTGATGTGTGTACTCAACTAACAGAGTTGAACCTTTCTTTTTACAGAGCAGTTTTGAAACACTCTTTTTGTAGAATCTGCAAGGCGATATTTGGATAGATTTCAGGATTTCGTTGGAAACGGGAATATCTTCATATAAAATCTCGACAGAAGCATTCTCAGAAACTTCTTTGTGATATGTGCATTCAAGTCACAGAGTTGAATATTCCCTTTCACAGAGTAGGTTAGAAACACTCTTTTTGTAGTATCTGGAAGTGGACATTTGGAGCGCCTTGACACCTACGGTGAAAAGGGAAATATCTTCCCATAAAAACTAGACAGAAGCAATCTCAGAATCTTCTTTGGGATATATGCACGCAGCTAACAGAGTTGAACCTTTCTATTGACAGAGCAGTTTTGAAACAGTCTTTCTGTGGAATCTGCAAGTGGTATTTGGATAGCTTGGAGGATTTCGTTGGAAACGGGATTACGTATAAAAAGTAGACAGCAGCATCCTCAGAAACTTCCTTGTGATGCGTGCATTCAAGTCACAGAGTTGAATATTCCCTTTCGTACAGCAGTTTTGAAACACTCTTTCTGTAGTATCTGGAAGTGAACTTTAGGAGAGTTTTCAGGTCTATAGTGAGAAAGGATATATCTTCAAATAAAAACTAGACAGAAAGCATTCTCATAAACTTGTTTGTGATGTCTGAACTCAGCTAACAGAGGTGGATCTTTCTTTTGATAGAGCAGTTCTGAAAAACACTTTTTGTTGAATCTGCAAGTGGACATTTGGATAGATTTGAAGATTTCGTTGGAAACGGGAAGATCTTCATATCAAATCTAGACAGAAGCATTCTCGGAAAACGTCTTTGTGATGTTTGCATTCAACTCATAGAGTTGAACATTCCGTTTCAGAGAGCAGCTTTGAAGCACTCTTTTTGTAGTATATGCAAGTGGATATTTGGAGCGCTCTGAGGCCTACGGTGAAAAAGCAAATATCTTCCCATAACCACTAGACAGAAACATTCTCAGAAACTCCTTTATGACGTATGCACTCACCTAACAGAGAAGAACCTTCCTTTTGACAGAGCAGTTTTGATACACTCTTTTTGTAGAATCTGCAAGTGGATAATTGGATAGCTGTGAAGATTTCGTTGGAAACGGGAATATCTTCCTATAAAATCCAGACAGAAGCATTCTCAGAAACTGCTCTGTGATGTCTGCATTGAAGTCACGGAGTTGAACATTGCCTTTCATAGAGCAGGTTTGAAACGCTCTTTTTGTAGTATATGGAAGTGGACGTTTCGGACGGTTTGAGGCCCATGGTGATAAAGGGAATATCTTCCCCTATAAGCTAGAAAGAAGCATTCTGTGAAACTTGTTTGTGATGTTTGTACTCAACTAACAGAGTTGAACCTTTCTTTTTACAGAGCAGTTTTGAAACACTCTTTTTGTAGAATCTGCGAGGGGATATTTGGATACATTTCAGGATTTCGTTGGAAATGGGAATATCTTCATAGAAAATCTCGACAAAAGCATTCTCAGAAACTTCTTTGTGATATGTGCTTTCAAGTCACAGAGTTGAATATTCCCTTTCACAGAGTAGGTTTGAAACAGTCTTTTTGTAGTATCTGGAAGTGGACATTTGGAGCGCCTTGACGCCTACGGTGAAAAGGGAAATATCTTCCCATAAAAACTAGACAGAAGCAATCTCAGAATCTTCTTTGGGTTATATGCACGCAGCTAACAGAGTTGAACCTTTCTATGGACAGAGGAGTTTTGAAACAGTCTTTCTGTGGAATCTGCAAGTGGATATTTGGATAGCTTGGAGGATTTCGTTGGAAACGGGATTACGTATAAAAAGTAGACAGCAGCATCCTCAGAAACTTCTTTGTGATGTGTGCATTCAAGTCACAGAGTTGAACATTCCCTTTCGTACAGCAGTTTTGAAACAGTCTTTCTGTAGTAACTGGAAGTGAACATTAGGACAGCTTTCAGCTCTATGGTGAGAAAGGAAATATCTTCAAATAAAAACTAGACAGAAGCATTCTCATAAACTTGTTTGTGATGTGTGAACTCAGCTAACAGAGGTTGATCTTTCTTTTGATAGAGCAGTTCTGAAAAACACTTTTTGTTGAATCTGCAAGTGGACATTTGGATAGATTTGAAGATTTCGTTGGAAACGGGAATATCTTCATATCAAGTCTAGACAGAAGCATTCTCAGAAACGTCTTTGTGATGTTTGCATTCAACTCATAGAGTTGAACATTCCGTTTCAGAGAGCAGATTTGAAGCACTCTTTTTGTAGTATGTGCAAGTGGATATTTGGAGCGCTCTGAGGCCTACGGTGAAAAAGCAAATATCTTCCCATAACCACTAGACAGAAACATTCTCAGAAACTCCTTTATGACGTATGCACTCACCTAACAGAGAAGAACCTTCCTTTTGACAGAGCAGTTTTCATACACTCTTTTTGTAGAATCTGCAAGTGGATATTTGGATAGCTGTGAAGATTTCGTTGGAAACGGGAATATCTTCCTATAAAATCTAGACAGAAGCATTCTCAGAAACTGCTCTGTGATGTCTGCATTCAAGTCACAGAGTTGAACATTGCCTTTCATAGAGCAGGTTTCAAACACTCTTTTTTTAGTATATGGAAGTGGACGATTCGGACGGTTTGAGGACCATGGTGATAAAGGAAATATCTTCCCCTACAAGATAGAAAGAAGCATTCTGTGAAACTTGTTTGTGATGTGTGTACTCAACTAACAGAGTTGAACCTTTCTTTTTACAGAGCAGTTTTGAAACACTCTTTTTGTAGAATCTGCGAGGGGATATTTGGATACATTTCAGCATTTCGTTGGAAACGGGAATGTCTTCATATAAAATATCGACAGAAGCATTCTCAGAAACTTCTTTGTGATATCTGCATTCAAGTCACAGAGTTGAATATTCCCTTTCACAGAGTAGGTTTGAAACACTCATTTTGTAGTATCTGGAAGTGGACATTTTGAGCGCCTTGACACCTACGGTAAAAAGGGAAATATCTTCCCATAAAAACTAGACAGAAGCAATCTCAGAATCTTCTTTGGGATATATGCACGCAGCTAACAGAGTTGAACCTTTCTATTGACAGAGCAGTTTTGAAACAGTCTTTCTGTGGAATCTGCAAGTGGATATTTGGATAGCTTGGAGGATTTCGTTGGAAACGGGATTAGGTATAAAAAGTAGACAGCCGCATCCTCAGAAACTTCTTTGTGATGTGTGCATTCAAGTCACAGTGTTGAACATTCCCTTTCGTACAGCAGTTTTGAAACACTCTTTCTGTAGTATCTGGAAGTGAACATTAGGACAGCTTTCAGGTCGATGGTGAGAAAGGAAATATCTTCAAATAAAAACTAAACAGAAGCATTCTCATAAACTTGTTTGTGATGTCTGAACTCAGCTAACAGAGGTGGATCTTTCTTTTGATAGAGCAGTTCTGAAAAACACTTTCTGTTGAATCTGCAAGTGGACATTTGGATAGATTTGAAGATTTCGTTGGAAACGGGAAGATCTTCATATCAAATACTAGACAGAAGCATTCTCAGAAACGTCTTTGTGATGTTTGCATTCAACTCCTAGAGTTGAACATTCCGTTTCAGAGAGCAGCTTTGAAGCACTCTTTTTGTAGTATGTGCAACTGGATATTTGGAGCGCTCTGAGGCCTACGGTGAAAAAGCAAATATCTTCCCATAACCACTAGACAGAAACATTTTCAGAAACTCCTTTATGACGTATGCACTCACCTAACAGAGAAGAACCTTCCTTTTGACAGAGCAGTTTTGATACACTCTTTTTGTAGTATCTGCAGGTGGATATTTGGATAGCTGTGAAGATTTCGTTGGAAACCGGAATATCTTCCTATAAAATCTAGACAGAAGCATTCTCAGAAACTGCTGTGTGATGTCTGCATTCAAGTCACAGAGTTGAACATTGCCTTTCACAGAGCAGGTTTGAAATGCTCTTTTTGTAGTATATGGAAGTGGACGTTTCAGACGGTTTGAGGCCCATGGTGAAAAAGGGAATATCTTCCCCTACAAGCTAGAAAGAAGCATTCTGTGAAACTTGTTTGTGATGTGTGTACTCAAGTAACAGAGTTCAACCTTTCTTTTTACAGAGCAGTTTTGAAACACTCTTTTTGTAGAATCTGTGAGGGGATATTTGGATAGATTTCAGGATTTCGTTGGAAACGAGAATATCTTCATATAAAATCTCGACAGAAGCATTCTCAGAAGCTTCTTTGTGATATGTGCATTCAAGTCACAGAGTTGAATATTCCCTTTCACAGAGTAGGTTTGAAACACTCTTTTTGTAGTATCTGGAAGTGGACATTTTGAGCACCTTGACGCCTACGGTGAAAAGGGAAATATCTTCTCATAAAAAGTAGACAGAAGCAATCTCAGAATCTTCTTTGGGATATATGCATGCAGCTAACAGAGTTGAACCTTTCTATTGACAGCAGTTTTGAAACAGTCTTTCTGTGGAATCTGCAAGTGGATATTTGGATAGCTTGGAGGATTTCGTTGGAAACGGGATTACGTATAAAAAGTAGACAGCAGCATCCTCAGAAACTTCTTTGTGATGTGTGCATTCAAGTCACAGAGTTGAATATTCCCTTTCGTACAGCAGTTTTGAAACACTCTTTCTGTAGCATCTGGAAGTGAACATTAGGACAGCTTTCAGGTCTATGGTGAGAAAGGAAATATCTTCAAATAAAAACTATACCGAAGCATTCTCATAAACTTGTTTGTGATGTGTGAACTCAGCTAACAGAGGTGGATCTTTCTTTTGATAGAGCAGTTCGGAAAAACACTTTTTGTTGAATCTGCAAGTGGACATTTGGATAGATTTGAAGATTTCGTTGGAAACGGGAATATCTTTATATCAAATCTAGACAGAAGCATTCTCAGAAACGTCTTTGTGATGTTTGCATTCAACTCATAGAGTTGAACATTCCGTTTCAGAGAGCAGCTTTGAGGCACTCTTTTTGTAGTATGTGCAAGGGGATATTTGGAGTGCTCTGAGGCCTCAGGTGAAAAAGCAAATATCTTCCCATAACCACTAGACAGAAACTTTCTCAGAAACTCCTTTATGACGTATGCACTCACCTAACAGAGAAGAACCTTCCTTTTGACAGAGCAGTTTTGATACACTCTTTTTGTAGAATCTGCAAGTGGATATTTGGATACCTGTGAAGATTTCGTTGGAAACGGGAATATCTTCCTATAAAATCTAGACAGAAGCATTCTCAGAAACTGCTCTGTGATGTCTGCATTCAAGTCACAGAGTTGAACATTGCCTTTCATAGAGCAGGTTTGAAACGCTCTTTTTGTAGTATATGGAAGTAGACGTTTCGTACGGTTTGAGGCCCATGGTGATAAAGGGAATATCTTCCCCTACAAGCTAGAAAGAAGCATTCTGTGAAACTTGTTTCTGATGTGTGTACTCAACTAACAGAGTTGAACCTTTCTTTTTACAGAGCAGTTTTGAAACACTCTTTTTGTAGAATCTGCGAGGGGATATTTGGATAGATTTCAGGATTTCGTTGGAAACGGGAGTATCTTCATATAAAATCTCGACAGAAGCGTTCTGAGAAACTTCTTGGTGATGTTTGCATTCAAGTCACAGAATTGAACATTCCCTTTAATAGAACAGGTTTGAAACACTCTTTTTGTAGTATCTGGAAGTGGACATTTGGAGCGCCTTGACGCCTACGGTGAAAAGGGAAATATCTTCCCATCAAAACTAGACAGAAGCAATCTCAGAATCTTCTTTGGGATATATGCATGCAGCTAACAGAGTTGAACCTTTCTATTGACAGAGCAGTTTTGAAACAGTCTTTCTGTGGAATCTGCAAGTGGATATTTGGATAGCTTGGAGGATTTCGTTGGAAACGGGATTAAGTATAAAAAGTAGACAGCAGCATCCTCAGAAACTTCTTTGTGATGTGTGCATTCAAGTCACAGAGTTGAACATTCCCTTTCGTACAGCAGTTTTGAAACACTCTTTCTGTAGTATCTGGAAGTGAACATTAGGACAGCTTTCAGGTCTATGGTGAGAAAGGAAATATTTTCAAATAAAAACTAGACAGAAGCATTCTCATAAACTTGTTTGTGATGTGTGAACTCAGCTAACAGAGGTGGATCTTTCTTTTGATAGAGCAGTTCTGAAAAACACTTTTTGTAGAATCTGCAAGTGGACATTTGGATAGATTTGAAGATTTCGTTGGAAACGGGAATATCTTCATATCAAATCTAGACAGAAGCATTCTCAGAAACGTCTTTGTGATGTTTGCATTCAACTCATAGAGTTGAACTTTCCGTTTCAGAGAGCAGCTTTGAAGCACTCTTTTTGTAGTATGTGCAAGTGGACATTTGGAGCGCCCTGAGGCCTACGGGGAAAAAGCAAATATCTTCCCATAACCACTAGACAGAAACATTCTCAGAAACTCCTTTACGACGTATGCACTCACCCTAACAGAGAAGAACCTTCCTTTTGACAGAGCAGTTTTGATACACTCTTTTTGTAGAATCTGCAAGTGGATATTTGGATAGCTGTGAAGATTTCGTTGGAAACGGGAATATCTTCCTATAAAATCTAGACAGAAGCATTCTCAGAAACTGCTCTGTGATGTCTGCTTTCAAGTCACAGAGTTGAACATTGCCTTTCATAGAGCAGGTTTGAAACGCTCTTTTTGTAGTATATGGAAGTGGATGTTTCGGACGGTTGGAGGCCCATGGTGATAAAGGGAATATCTTCCCCTACAAGCTAGAAAGAAGCATTCTGTGAAACTTGTTTGTGATGTCTGTACTCAACTAACAGAGTTGAACCTTTCTTTTTACAGAGCAGTTTTGAAACACTCTTTTTGTAGAATCTGCGAGGGGATATTTGGATACATTTCAGGATTTCGTTGGAAACGGGAATATCTTCATATAAAATCTCGACAGAAGCATTCTCAGAAACTTCTTGTGATATCTGCATTCAAGTCACAGAGTTGAATATTCCCTTTCACAGAGTAGGTTTGAAACACTCTTTTTGTAGTATCTGGAAGTGGACATTTGGAGCGCCTTGACCCCTACGGTGAAAAGGGAAATATCTTCCCATAAAAACTAGACAGAAGCAATCTCAGAATCTTCTTTGGGATATATGCACGCAGCTAACAGAGTTGAACCTTTCTATTGACAGATCAGTTTTGAAACAGTCTTTCTGTGGAATCTGCAAGTGGATATTTGGATAGCTTGGAGGATTTCGTTGGAAACGGGATTACGTATAAAAAGTAGACAGCAGCATCCTCAGAAACTTCTTTGTGATGTGTGCATTCAAGTCACAGAGTTGAACATTCCCTTTCGTACAGCAGTTTTGAAACACTCTTTCTGCAGTATCTGGAAGTGAACATTAGGACAGCTTTCAGGTCTATGGTGAGAAAGGAAATATCTTCAAATAAAAACTAGACAGAAGCATTCTCATAAACTTGTTTGTGATGTGTGAACTCAGCTAACAGAGGTGGATCTTTCTTTTGATAGAGCAGTTCTGAAAAACACTTTTTGTTGAATCTGCAAGTGGACATTTGGACAGATTTGAAGATTTCGTTGGAAACGGGAATACCTTCATATCAAATCTAGACAGAAGCATTCTCAGAAACGTCTTTGCGATGTTTGCATTCAACTCATAGAGTTGAACATTCCCTTTCAGAGAGCAGCTGTGAGGCACTCTTTTTGTAGTATGTGCAAGTGGATATTTGGAGCGCTCTGAGGCCTACGGTGAAAAAGCAAATATCTTCCCATAACCACTAGACAGAAACATTCTCAGAAACTCCTTTATGACTTATGCACTCACCTAACAGAGAAGAACCTTCCTTTTGACAGAGCAGTTTTGATACACTCTTTTTGTAGAATCTGCAAGTGGATATTGGGGTAGCTGTGAAGATTTCGTTGGAAACGGGAATATCTTCCTATAAAATCTAGACAGAAGCATTCTCAGAAACTGCTCTGTGATGTCTGCATTCAAGTCACAGTGTTGAACATTGCCTTTCCTAGAGCAGTTTAGAAACGCTCTTTTTGTAGTATATGGAAGTGGACGTTTCGGACGGTTTGAGGACCATGGTGATAAAGGGAATATCTTCCCCTACAAGCTAGAAAGAAGCATTCTGTGAAACTTGTTTGTGATGTGTGTACTCAACTAACAGAGTTGAACCTTTCTTTTTACAGAGCAGTTTTGAAACACGCTTTTTGTAGAATCTGCGAGGGGATATTTGGATAGATTTCAGGATTTCGTTGGGAACGGGAATATCTTCATATAAAATCTCGACAGAAGCATTCTCAGAAACTTCTTTGTGATATCTGCATTCAAGTCACAGAGTTGAATATTCCCTTTCACAGAGTAGGTTTGAAACACTCTTTTTGTAGTATCTGGAAGTGGACATTTGGAGCGCCTTAACGCCTACGGTGAAAAGGGAAATATCTTCCCATAAAAACTAGACAGAAGCAATCTCAGAATCTTCTTTGGGATATATGCACGCAGCTAACAGAGTTGAACCTTTCTATTGACAGAGCAGTTTTGAAACAGTCTTTCCGTGGAATCTGCAAGTGGATATTTGGATAGCTTGGAAGATTTCGTTGGAAACGGGATTACGTATCAAATGTAGACAGCAGCATCCTCAGAAACTTCCTTGTGATGTGTGCATTCAAGACACACAGTTGAACATTCCCTTTCGTACAGCAGTTTTGAAACACTCTTTCTGTAGTATCTGGAAGTGAACATTAGGACAGCTTTCAGGTCTATCGTGAGTAAGGAAATATCTTCAAATAAAAACTAGACAGAAGCATTCTCATAAACTTGTTTGTGATGTGTGAACTCAGCTAACAGAGGTGGATCTTTCTATTGATAGAGCAGTTCTGAAAAACACTTTTTGTTGAATCTGCAAGTGGACATTTGGATAGATTTGAAGATTTCGTTGGAAACGGGAATATCTTCATATCAAATCTAGACAGAAGCATTCTCAGAAACGTCTTTGTGATGTTTGCATTCAACTCATAGAGTTGAACATTCCGTTTCAGAGAGCAGCTTTGAAGCACTCTTTTTGTAGTATGTGCAAGTGGATATTTGGAGCGCTCTTAGGCCTACGGTGAAAAAGCAAATATCTTCCCATAACCACTAGACAGAAACATTCTCAGAAACTCCTTTATGACGTATGTACTCAACTAACAGAGAAGAACCTTCCTTTAGACAGAGCAGTTTTGATACACTCTTTTTGTAGAATCTGCAAGTGGATATTTGGATAGCTGTGAAGATTTCGTTGGAAACGGGAATATCTTCCTATAAAATCTAGACAGAAACATTCTCAGGAACTGCTCTGTGATGTCTGCATTCAAGTCACAGAGTTGAACATTGCCTTTCCTAGAGCAAATTTGAAACGCTCTTTTTGTAGTATATGGAAGTGGACGTTTCGGACGGTTTGAGACCCATGGTGATAAAGGGAATATCTTCCCCTACAAGCTAGAAAGAAGCATTCTGTGAAACTTGTTTGTGATGTGTGTACTCAACTAACAGAGTTGAACCTCTCTTTTTACAGAGCAGTTTTGAAACACTCTTTTTGTAGAATCTGCGAGGGGATATTTGGATAGATTTCAGGATTTCGTTGGAAACGGGAATATCTTTATATAAAATCTCGACAGAAGCATTCTCAGAAACTTCTTTGTGATATCTACATTCAAGTCACAGAGTTGAATATTCCCTTTCACAGAGTAGGTTTGAAACACTCTTTTTGTAGTATCTGGAAGTGGACATTTGGAGCGCCTTGACACCTACGGTGAAAAGGGAAATATCTTCCCATAAAAACTAGACAGAAGCAATCTCAGAATCTTCTTTGGGATATATCGCACGCAGCTAACAGAGTTGAACCTTTCTATTGACAGAGCAGTTTTGAAACAGTCTTTCTGTGGAATCTGCAAGTGGATATTTGGATAGCTTGGAGGATTTCTTTGGAAACGGGATTACGTATAAAAAGTAGACAGCAGCATCCTCAGAAACTTCTTTGTGATGTGTGCATTCAAGTCACAGAGTTGAACATTCCCTTTCGTACAGCAGTTTTGAAACACTCTTTCTGTAGTATCTGGAAGTGAACATTAGGACAGCTTTCAGGTCTATGGTGAGAAAGGAAATATCTTCAAATAAAAACTTGACAGAAGCATTTTCATAAACTTGTTTTTGATGTGTGAACTCAGCTAACAGAGGTGGATCTTTCTTTTGATAGAGCAGTTCTGAAAAACACTTTTTGTTGAATCTGCAAGTGGACATTTGGATAGATTTGAAGATTTCGTTGGAAACGGGAATATCTTCCTATCAAATCTAGACAGAAGCATTCTCAGAAACGTCTTTGTGATGTTTGCATTCAACTCATAGAGTTGAACATTCCCTTTCAGAGAGCAGCTTTGAAACACTCTTTTTGTAGTATGTGCAAGTGGATATTTGGAGCGCTCTGAGGCCTACGGTGAAAAAGCAAATATCTTCCCATAACCACTAGACAGAAACATTCTCAGAAACTCCTTTATGACGTATGCACTCACCTAACAGAGAAGAACCTTCCATTTGACAGAGCAGTTATGATACACTCTTTTTGTAGAATCTGCAAGTGGATATTTGGATAGCTGTGAAGATTTCGCTGGAAACGGGAATATCTTCCTATAAAATCTAGACAGAAGCATTCTCAGAAGCTGCTCTGTGATGTCTGCATTCAAGTCACAGAGTTGAACATTGCCTTTCATAGAGCAGGTTTGAAACGCTCTTTTTGTAGTATATGGAAGTGGACTTTTCGGACGGTTTGAGGCCCATGGTGATAAAGGGAATATCTTCCCCTACAAGCTAGAAAGAAGCATTCTGTGAAACTTGTTTGTGATGTGTGTACTCAACTAACAGAGTTGAACCTTTCTTTTCACAGAGCAGTTTTGAAACACTCTTTTTGTAGAATCTGCGAGGGGATATTTGGATAGATTTCAGGATTTCGTTGGAAACGGGTATATCTTCATATAAAATCTCGACAGAAGCATTCTCAGAAACTGCTCTGTGATATCTGCATTCAAGTCACAGAGTTGAATATTCCCTTTCACAGAGTAGGTTTGAAACACTCTTTTTGTAGTATCTGGAAGTGGACATTTGGAGCGCCTTGACGTCTACTGTGAAAAGGGAAATATCTTCCCATCAAATCTAGACAGAAGCAATCTCAGAATCTTCTTTGGGATATATGCACGCAGCTTACAGAGTTGAACCTTTCTATTGACAGAGCAGTTTTGAAACAGTCTTTTTGAGGAATCTGCAAGTGGATATTTGGATAGCTTGGAGGATTTCGTTGGAAACGGTATTATGTATAAAAAGTAGACAGCAGTATTCTCAGAAACTCCTTTGTGATGTGTGAATTCAAGTCACAGAGTTCAACATTCCCTTTCGCAGAGCAGGTTTGAACCACTCTTTCTCTAGTATCTGGAAGTGAACATTACGAGAGCTTTCAGGTCCATGGTGAGAAAGGAAATATCTTCAAATAAAAACTAGACAGAAGCATTCTCATAAACTTGTTTGTGATGTCTGAACTCAGCTAACAGAGGTGGATCTTTCTTTTGATACAGCAGTTCTGAAAAACACTTTTTGTTGAATCTGCAAGTGGACATTTGGATAGATTTGAAGATTTCGTTGGAAACGGGAATATCTTCATATCAAATCTAGACAGAAGCATTCTCAGAAACGTCTTTGCGATGTTTGCATTCAACTCATAGAGTTGAACATTCCGTTTCAGAGAGCAGTTTTGAGGCACTCTTTTTGTAGTATGTGCAAGTGGATATTTGGAGCGCTCTGAGGCCTACGGTGAAAAAGCAAATATCTTCCCATAACCACTAGACAGAAACATTCTCAGAAACTCCTTTATGACGTATGCACTCACCTAACAGAAAAGAACCTTCCTTTTGACAGAGCAGTTTTGATACACTCTTTTGGTAGAATCTGCAAGTGGATATTTGGATAGCTGTGAAGATTTCGTTGGAAACGGGAATATCTTCCTATAAAATCTAGACAGAAGCATTCTCAGAAACTGCTCTGTGATGTCTGCATTCAAGTCACAGAGTTGAACATTGCCTTTCATAGAGGAGGTTTGAAACGCTCTTTTTGTAGTATATGGAAGTGGACGTTTCGGACGGTTTGAGGCCCATGGTAATAAAGGGAATATCTTCCCCTACAAGCTAGAAAGAAGCATTCTGTGAAACTTGTTTGTGATGTGTGTACTCAACTAACAGAGTTGAACCTTTCTTTTTACAGAGCAGTTTTGAAACACTCTTTTTGTAGAATCTGCGAGGGCATATTTGGATAGATTTCAGGATTTCGTTGGAAACGGGAATATCTTCATATAAAATCTCGACAGAAGCATTCTCAGAAACTTCTTTGTGATATGTGCATTCAAGTCACAGAGTTGAATATTCCCTTTCACAGAGTAGGTTTGAAACACTCTTTTTGTAGTATCTGGAAGTGGACATTTGGAGCGCCTTCACACCTACGGTGAAAAGGGAAATATCTTCCCATAAAAACTAGACAGAAGCAATCTCAGAATCTTCTTTGGGATATATGCACGCAGCTAACGGAGTTGAACCTTTCTATTGACAGAGGAGTTTTGAAACAGTCTTTCTGTGGAATCTGCAAGTGGATATTTGGATAGCTTGGAGGATTTCGTTGGAAACGGGATTACGTATAAAAAGTAGACAGCAGCATCCTCAGAAACTTTTTTGTGATGTGTGCATTCAAGTCACAGAGTTGAACATTCCCTTTTGTACAGCAGTTTTGAAACACTCTTTCTGTAGTATCTGGAAGTGAACATTAGGACAGCTTTCAGGTCTATGGTGAGAAAGGAAATATCTTCAAATAAAAACTAGACAGAAGCATTCTCATAAACTTGTTTGTGATGTGTGAACTCAGCAAACAGCGGTGGATCTTTCTTTTGATAGAGCAGTTCTGAAAAACACTTTTTGTTGAATCTGCAAGTGGACATTTGGATAGTTTTGAAGATTTCCTTGGAAAAAGGAATATCTTCATATCAAATCTAGACAGAAGCATTCTCAGAAACGTCTTTGCGATGTTTGCATTCAACTCATAGAGTTGCACATTCCGTTTCAGAGAGCAGCTTTGAGACACTCTTTTTGTAGTATGTGCAAGTGGATATTTGGAGCGCTCTGAGGCCTACGGTGAAAAAGCAAATATCTTCCCATAACCACTAGACAGAAACATTCTCAGAAACTCCTTTACGACGTATGCACTCACCTAACAGAGAAGAACCTTCCTTTTGACAGAGCAGTTTTGATACACTCTTTTTGTAGAATCTGCAAGTGGATATTTGGATAGCTGTGAAGATTTTGTTGGAAACGGGAATATCTTCCTATAAAATCTAGACAGAAGCATTCTCAGAAACTGCTCTGTGATGTCTGCATTCAAGTCACAGAGTTGAACATTGCCTTTCATAGAGCAGGTTTGAAATGCTCTTTTTGCTGTATATGGAAGTGGACGTTTCAGACGGTTTGAGGCCCATGGTGATAAAGGGAATATCTTCCCCTACAAGCTAGAAAGAAGCATTCTGTGAAACTTGTTTGTGATGTGTGCACTCAACTAACAGAGTTGAACCTTTCTTTTTACAGAGCAGTTTTGAAACACTCTTTTTGTAGAATCTGCGAGGGGATATTTGGATAGATTTCAGGATTTCGTTGGAAACGGGAATATCTTCATATAAAATCTCGACAGAAGCATTCTCAGAAACTTCTTTGTGATATCTGCATTCAAGTCACAGAGTTGAATATTCCCTTTCACAGAGTAGGTTTGAAACACTCTTTTTGTAATATCTGGAAGTGGACATTAGGAGCGCCTTGACGCCTACGGTGAAAAGGGAAATATCTTCCCATAAAAATTAGACAGAAGCAATCTCAGAATCTTCTTTGGGATATATGCACGCAGCTTACAGAGTTGAACCTTTCTATTGACAGAGCAGTTTTGAAACAGTCTTTCTGTGGAATCTGCAAGTGGATATTTGGATAGCTTGGAGGATTTCGTTGGAAACGGGATTACGTATAAAAAGTAGACAGCCGCATCCTCAGAAACTTCTCTGTGATGTGTGCATTCAAGTCACAGAATTGAACATTCCCTTTCGTACAGCAGTTTTGAAACACTTTTTCTGTAGCATCTGGAAGAGAACATTAGGACAGCTTTCAGGTCTATGGTGAGAAAGGAAATATCTTCAAATAAAAACTAGACAGAAACATTCTCATAAACTTGTTTGTCATGTGTGAACTCAGCTAACAGACGTGGATCTTTCTTTTGATACAGCAGTTTTGAAAAACACTTTTTGTTGAATCTGCAAGTGGACATTTGGATAGATTTGAAGATTTCGTTGGAAACGGGAATATCTTCATATCAAATCTAGACAGAAGCATTCTCAGAAACGTCTTTGTGATGTTTGCATTCAACTCATAGATTTGAACATTCCGTTTCAGAGAGCAGCTTTGAAGCACTCTTTTTGTAGTATGTGCAAGGGGATATTTGGAGCGCTCTGAGGCCTACGGTGAAAAAGCAAATATCTTCCCATAACCACTAGACAGAAACATTCTCAGAAACTCCTTTATGACGTATGCACTCACCTAACAGAGAAGAACCTTCCTTTTGACAGAGCAGTTTTGATACACTCTTTTTGTAGAATCTGCAAGTGGATATTTGGATAGCTGTGAAGATTTCTTTGGAAACGGGAATATCTTCCTATAAAGTATAGACAGAAGCATTCTCAGAAACTGCTCTGTGATGTCTGCATTCAAGTCACAGAGTTGAACATTGCCTTTCCTAGAGCAGGTTTGAAACGCTCTTTTTGTAGTATATGGAAGTGGACGTTTCAGACGGTTTGAGGCCCATGGTGATAAAGGGAATATCTTCCCCTACAAGCTAGAAAGAAGCATTCTGTGAAACTTGTTTGTGATGTGTGTACTCAACTAACAGAGTTGAACCTTTCTTTTCACAGAGCAGTTTTGAAACACTCTTTTTGTAGAATCTGTGAGGGGATATTTGGATAGATTTCAGGATTTCGTTGGAAACGGGAATATCTTCATACAAAATCTCGACAGAAGCATTCTCAGAAACTTCCTTCTGATATGTGCATTCAAGTCACAGAGTTGAATATTCCCTTTCACAGAGTAGGTTTGAAACACTCTTTTTGTAGTATCTGGAAGTGGTCATTTGGAGCGCCTTGACGCCCACGGTGAAAAGGGAAATATCTTCCCATAAAAACTAGACAGAAGCAATCTCAGAATCTTCTTTGGGATATATGCACGCAGCTAACAGAGTTGAACCTTTCTATTGACAGAGCAGTTTTGAAACAGTCTTTCTGTGGAATCTGCAAGTGGATATTTGGATAGATTGCAGGATTTCGTTGGAAACGGGATTACGTATAAAAAGTAGACAGCAGCATCCTCAGAAACTTCTTTGTGATGTGTGCATTCAAGTCACAGAGTTGAACATTCCCTTTCGTACAGCAGTTTTGAAACACTCTTTCTGTAGCATCTGGAAGTGAACATTAGGACAGCTTTCAGGTCTATGGTGAGAAAGGAAATATCTTCAAATAAAAACTAGACACAAGCATTCTCATCAACTTGTTTGTGATGTGTGAACTCAGCTAACAGAGGTGGATCTTTCTTTTGATAGAGCAGTTCTGAAAAACACTTTTTGTTGAATCTGCAAGTGGACATTTGGATAGATTTGAAGATTTCGTTGGAAACGGGAATATCTTCATATCAAGTCTAGACAGAAGCATTCTCAGAAACGTCTTTGTGATGTTTGCATTCAACTCATAGAGTTGAACATTCCGTTTCAGAGAGCAGCTTTGAAGCACTCTTTTTGTAGTATGTGCAAGTGGATATTTGGAGCGCTGTGAGGCCTACGGTGAAAAAGCAAATATCTTCCCATAGCCACTAGACAGATAAACATTCTCAGAAACTCCTTTATGACGTATGCACTCACCTAACAGAGAAGAACCTTCCTTTTGACAGAGCAGTTTTGATACACTCTTTTTGTAGAATCTGCAAGTGGATATTTGGATAGCTGTGAAGATTTCGTTGGAAACGGGAATATCTTCCTATAAAATCTAGACAGAAGCATTCTCAGAAACTACTCTGTGATGTCTGCATTCAAGTCACAGAGTTGAACATTGCCTTTCATAGAGCAGGTTTGAAACGCTCTTTTTGTAGTATATGGAAGTGAACGTTTCGGACGGTTTGAGGCCCATGGTGATAAAGGGAATATCTTCCCCTACAAGCTAGAAAGAAGCATTCTGTGAAACTTGTTTGTGATGTGTGTACTCAACTAACAGAGTTGAACCTTTCTTTTTACAGAGCAGTTTTGAAACACTCTTTTTGTAGAATATGCGAGGGGATATTTGGATAGATTTCAGGATTTCTTTGGAAACGGGAATATCTTCATATAAAATCTCGACAGAAGCATTCTCAGAAACTTCTTTGTGATATCTGCATTCAAGTCACAGAGTTGAATATTCCCTTTCACAGAGTAGGTTTGAAACACTCTTTTTGTAGTATCTGGAAGTGGACATTTGGAGCGCCTTGACGCCTATGGTGAAAAGGGAAATATCTTCTCATAAAAAGTAGACACAAGCAATCTCAGAATCTTCTTTGGGATATATGCACGCTGCTAACAGAGTTGAACCTTTCTATTGACAGAGCAGTTTTGAAACAGTCTTTCTGTGGAATCTGCAAGTGGATATTTGGATAGCTTGGAGGATTTCGTTGGAAACGGGATTACGTATAAAAAGTAGACAGCAGCATCCTCCGAAACTTCTTTGTGATGTGTGCATTCAAGTCACAGTAGTTGAACATTCCCTTTCGTACAGCAGTTTTGAAACACTCTTTCTGTAGTATCTGGAAGTGAACATTAGGACAGCTTTCAGCTCTATGGTGAGAAAGGAAATATCTTCAAATAAAAACTAGACAGAAGCATTCTCATAAACTTGTTTGTGATGTGTGAACTCAGCTAACAGAGGTGGATCTTTCGATAGAGCAGTTCTGAAAAACACTTTTTGTTGAATCTGCAAGTGGACATTTGGAAAGATTTGAAGATTTCGTTGGAAACGGGAATATGTTCATATCAAATCTAGACAGAAGCATTCTCAGAGACGTCTTTGTGATGTTTGCATTCAACTCATAGAGTTGAACATTCCCTTTCAGAGAGCAGCTTTGAAGCACTCTTTTTGTAGCATGTGCAAGTGGACATTTGGAGCACCCTGAGGCCTACGGTGAAAAAGCAAATATCTTCCCATAACCACTAGACAGAAACATTCTCAGAAACTCCTTTATGACGTATGCCCTCACCTAACAGAAAAGAACCTTCCTTTTGACAGAGCAGTTTTGATACACTCTTTTTGTAGAATCTGCAAGTGGATATTTGGATAGCTGTGAAGATTTCGTTGGAAACGGGAATATCTTCCTATAAAATCTAGACAGAAACATTCTCAGAAACTGCTCTGTGATGTCTGCATTCAAGTCACAGAGTTGAACATTGCCTTTCATAGAGCAGGTTTGAAACGCTCTTTTTGTAGTATATGGAAGTGGACGTTTCGGACGGTTTGAGGCCCATGGTGATGAAGGGAATATCTTCCCCTACAAGCTAGAAAGAAGCATTCTGTGAAACTTGTTTGTGATGTGTGTACTCAACTAAGAGAGTTGAACCTTTCTTTTCACAGAGCAGTTTTGAAACACTCTTTTTGTAGAATCTGCGAGGGGATATTTGGATACATTTCAGGATTTCGTTGGAAACGGGAATATCTTCATACAAAATCTCGACAGAAGCATTCTCAGAAGCTTCTTTGTGATATGTGCATTTAAGTCACAGAGTTGAATATTCCCTTTCACAGAGTAGGTTTGAAACACTCTTTTTGTAGTATCTGGAAGTGGACATTTGGAGCGCCTTGACGCCTACGGTGAAAAGGGAAATATCTTCTCATAAAAAGTAGACACAAGCAATCTCAGAATCTTCTTTGGGATATATGCACGCAGCTAACAGAGTTGAACCTTTCTATTGACAGAGCAGTTTTGAAACAGTCTTTCTGTGGAAGCTGCAAGTGGATATTTGGATAGGTTGGAGGATTTCGTTGGAAACGGGATTACATATAAAAAGTAGACAGCAGCATCCTCAGAAACTTCTTTGTGATGTGTGCATTCAAGTCACAGAGTTGAACATTCCCTTTCGTACAGCAGTTTTGAAACACTCTTTCTGTAGTATCTGGAAGTGAACATTAGGACAGCTTTCAGCTCTATGGTGAGAAAGGAAATATCTTCAAATAAAAACTAGACAGAAGCATTCTCATAAACTTGTTTCTGATGTGTGAACTCAGCTAACAGAGGTGGATCTTTCTTTTGATAGAGCAGTTCTGAAAAACACTTTTTGTTGAATCTGCAAGTGGACATTTGGATAGATTTGAAGATTTCTTTGTAAACGGGAATATCTTCATATCAAATCTAGACAGAAGCATTCTCAGAAACGTCTTTGTGATGTTGGCATTCAACTCATAGAGTTGAACATTCACTTTCAGAGAGCAGCTTTGAAGCACTCTTTTTGTAGTATGTGCAAGTGGATATTTGGAGCGCTCTGAGGCCTACGGTGAAAAAGCAAATATCTTCCCATAACCACTAGACAGAAACATTCTCAGAAACTCCTTTGTGACGTATGTACTCAACTAACAGAGAAGAACTTTCCTTTTGACAGAGCATTTTTGATACACTCTTTTTGTACTATCTGCAAGTGGATATTTGGATAGCTGTGAAGATTTCGTTGGAAACGGGAATATCTTCCCATAAAACCTAGACAGAAGCATTCTCAGAAACTGCTCTGTGATGTCTGCATTCAAGTCACAGAGTTGAACATTGCCTTTCATAGAGCAGGTTTGAAACGCTCTTTTTTGTAGTATATGGAAGTGGACTTTTCGGACGGTTTGAGGCCCATGGTGATAAAGGGAATATCTTCCCCTACAAGCTAGAAAGAAGCATTGTGTGAAACTTGTTTGTGATGTGTGTACTCAACTAACAGAGTTGAACCTTTCTTTTTACAGAGCAGTTTTGAAACACTCTTTTTGTAGAATCTGCGAGGGGATATTTGGATAGATTCCAGCATTTCGTTGGAAACGGGAATATCTTCATATAAAATCTCGACAGAAGCATTCTCAGAAACTTCTTTGTGATAACTGCATTCAAGTCACAGAGTTGAATATTCCCTTTCACCGAGTAGGTTTGAAACACTCTTTTTGTAGTATCTGGAAGTGGACATTTGGAGCGCCATGACGCCTACGGTGAAAAGGGAAATATCTTCCCATAAAAACTAGACAGAAGCAATCTCAGAATCCTCTTTGGGATATATGCACGCAGCTAACGGAGTTGAACCTTTCTATTGACAGAGCAGTTTTGAAACAGTCTTTCTGTGGAATCTGCAAGTGGATATTTGGATAGCTTGGAGGATTTCGTTGGAAACGGGATTACGTATAAAAAGTAGACAGCAGCCTCCTCAGAAACTTTCCTTGTGATGTGTGCATTCAAGTCACAGGGTTGAACATTCCCTTTCGTACAGCAGTTTTGAAACACTCTTTCTGTAGTATCTGGAAGTGAACATTAGGACAGCTTTCAGGTCTATGGTGAGAAAGGAAATATCTTCAAATAAAAACTAGACAGAAGCATTCTGATAAACTTGTTTGTGAAGTGTGATCTCAGCTAACAGAGGTGGATCTTTCTATTGATAGAGCAGTTCTGAAAAACACTTTGTTGAATCTGCAAGTGGACATTTGGATAGATTTGAAGATTTCGTTGGAAACGGGAATATCTTCATATCAAATCTAGACAGAAGCATTCTCAGAAACGTCTTTGCAATGTTTGCATTCAACTCATAGAGTTGAACATTCCGTTTCAGAGAGCAGCTTTGAGGCACTCTTTTTGTAGTATGTGCAAGTGGATATTTGGAGCGCTCAGAGGCCTACGGTGAAAAAGCAAATATCTTCCCATAACCACTAACAGAAACATTCTCAGAAACTCCTTTATGAGGTATGCACTCACCTAACAGAGAAGAACCTTCCTTTTGACAGAGCAGTTTTGATACACTCTTTTTGTAGAATCTGCAAGTGGATATTTGGATAGCTGTGAAGATTTCGTTGGAAACGGGAATATCTTCCTATAAAATCTAGACAGAAGCATTCTCAGAAACTGCTCTGTGTTGTCTGCATTCAAGTCACAGAGTTGAACATTGCCTTTCATAGAGCAGGTTTGAAACGCTCTTTTTGTAGTATATGGAAGTGGACTTATCGGACGGTTTGAGGCCCATGGTGATAAAGGGAATATCTTCCCCTACAAGCTAGAAAGAAGCATTCTGTGAAACTTGTTTGTGATGTGTGTACTCAACTAACAGAGTTGAACCTTTCTTTTTACAGAGCAGTTTTGAAACACTCTTTTTGTAGAATCTGCGAGGGGATATTTGGATACATTTCAGCATTTCGTTGGAAACGGGAATATCTTCATAAAAAATCTCGACAGAAGCATTCTCAGAAGCTTCTTTGTGATATGTGCATTCAAGTCACAGAGTTGAATATTCCCTTTCACAGAGTAGGTTTGAAACACTCTTTTTGTAGTATCTGGAAGTGGACATTTGGAGCGCCTTGACGCCTACGTTGAAAAGGGAAATACCTTCTCATAAAAAGTAGACAGAAGCAATCTCAGAATCTTCTTTGGGATATATGCACGCAGCTTACAGAGTTGAACCTTTCTATTGACAGAGCAGTTTTGAAACAGTCTTTCTGTGGAATCTGCAAGTGGATATTTGGATAGCTTGGAGGATTTCGTTGGAAACGGGATTACGTATAATAAGTAGACAGCAGCATCCTCAGAAACTTCTTTGTGATGTGTGCATTCAAGTCACAGAGTTGAACATTCCCTTTCGTACAGCAGTTTTGAAACACTCTTTCTGTAGTATCTGGAAGTGAACATTAGGACAGCTTTCAGGTCTATGGAGAGAAAGGAAATATCTTCAAATAAAAACTAGACAGAAGCATTCTCATAAACTTGTTTGTGATGTGTGAACTCAGCTAACAGAGGTGGATCTTTCTTTTGATAGAGCAGTTCTGAAAAACACTTTTTGTTGAATCTGCAAGTGCACATTTGGATAGATTTGAAGATTTCGTTGGAAACGGGAATATCTTCATATCAAATCTAGACAGAAGCATTCTCAGAAACGTCTTTGTCACGTTTGCATTCAACTCATAGAGTTGAACATTCCCTTTCAGAGAGCAGCTTTGAAACACTCTTTTTGTAGTATGTGCAAGTGGATATTTGGAGCGCTCTGAGGCCTACGGTGAAAAAGCAAATATCTTCCCATAACCACTAGACAGAAACATTCTCAGAAACTCCTTTATGACGTATGCACTCACCTAACAGAGAAGAACCTTCCTTTTGACAGAGCAGTTTTGATATACTCTTTTTGTAGAATCTGCAAGTGGATATTTGGATAGCTGTGAAGATTTCGTTGGAAACGGGAATATCTTCCTATAAAATCTAGACAGAAGCATTCTCAGAAACTGCTCTGTGATGTCTGCATTCAAGTCACAGAGTTGAACATTGCCTTTCATAGAGCAGGTTTGAAACACTCTTTTTTTAGTATATGGAAGTGGACGTTTCGGACGGTTTGAGGCCCATGGTGATAAAGGAAATATCTTCCCCTACAAGTTAGAAAGAAGCATTCTGTGAAACTTGTTTGTGATGTGTGTACTCAACTAAGAGAGTTGAACCTTTCTTTTCACAGAGCAGTTTTGAAACACTCTTTTTGTAGAATCTGCGAGGGGATATTTGGATAGATTTCAGCATTTCTTTGGAAACGGGAATATCTTCATATAAAATCTCGACAGAAGCATTCTCAGAAACTTCTTTGTGATATGTGCATTCAAGTCACAGAGTTGAATATTCCCTTTCACAGAGTAGGTTTGAAACACTCTTTTTGTAGTTTCTGGAAGTGGACATTTGGAGCGCCTTGACACCTACGGTGAAAAGGGAAATATCTTCCCATAAAAACTAGACAGAAGCAATCTCAGAATCTTCTTTGGGATATATGCACGCAGCTAACAGAGTTGAATCTTTCTGTTGACAGAGCAGATTTGAAACAGTCTTTCTGTGGAATCTGCAAGTGGATATTTGGATAGCTTGGAGGATTTCGTTGGAAACGGGATTATGTATAAAAAGTAGACAGCAGCATCCTCAGAAACTTCTTTGTGATGTGTGCATTCAAGTCACAGAGTTGAACATTCCCTTTCGTACAGCAGTTTTGAAACACTGTTTCTGTAGTATCTGGAACTGAACATTAGGACAGCTTTAAGGTCTATGGTGAGAAAGGAAATATCTTCAAATAAAAACTAGACAGAAGCATTCTCATCAACTTGTTTGTGATGTGTGAACTCAGCTAACAAAGGTGGATCTTTCTTTTGATAGAGCAGTTCTGAAAAACACGATTTGTTGAATCTGCAAGTGGACATTTGGATAGATTTGAAGATTTCGTTGGAAACGGGAATATCTTCATATCAAATCTAGACAGAAGCATTCTCGGAAACGTCTTTGTCACGTTTGCATTCAACTCATAGAGTTGAACATTCCGTTTCAGAGAGCAGCTTTGAAGCACTCTTTTTGTAGTATGTGCAAGGGGATATTTGGAGCGCTGTGAGGCCTACGGTGAAAAAGCAAATATCTTCCCATAACCACTAGACAGAAACATTCTCAGAAACTCCTTTATGACGTATGCACTCACCTAACAGAGAAGAACCTTCCTTTTGACAGAGCAGTTTTGATACACTTTTTTTGTAGAATCTGCAAGTGGATATTTGGATAGCTGTGAAGATTTCGTTGGAAACGGGAATATCTTCCTATAAAATCTAGACAGAAGCATTCTCAGAAACTGCTCTGTGATGTCTGCATTCAAGTCACAGAGTTGAACATTGCCTTTCATAGAGCAGGTTTGAAACGCTCTTTTTGTAGTATATGGAAGTGGACGTTTCGGACGGTTTGAGACCCATGGTGATAAAGGGAATATATTCCCCTACAAGCTAGAAAGAAGCATTCTGTGAAACTTGTTTGTGATGTGTGTACTCAACTAACAGAGTTGAACCTTTCTTTTTACAGAGCAGTTTTGAAACACTCTTTTTGTAGAATCTGCGAGGGGATATTTGGATACATTTCAGGATTTCGTTGGAAACGGGAATACCTTCATATAAAATCTCGACAGAAGCATTCTCAGAAACTTCTTTGTGATATCTGCATTCAAGTCACAGAGTTGAATATTCCCTTTCACCGAGTAGGTTAGAAACACTCTTTTTGTAGTATCTGGAAGTGGACATTTGGAGCGCCTTGACGCCTACGGTGAAAAGGGAAATATCTTCCCATTAAAACTAGACAGAAGCAATCTCAGAATCTTCTTTGGGATATATGCACGCAGCTAACAGAGTTGAACCTTTCTATTGACAGAGCAGTTTTGAAACAGTCTTTCTGTGGAATCTGCAAGTGGATATTTGGATAGTTGGAGGATTTCGTTGGAAACGGGATTACGTATAAAAAGTAGACAGCAGCATCCTCAGAAACTTCTTTGTGATGTGTGCATTCAAGTCACAGAGTTGAACATTCCCTTTCGTACAGCAGTTTGGAAACACTCTTTCTGTAGTATCTGGAAGTGAACATTAGGACAGCTTTCAGGTCTATGGTGAGAAAGGAAATATCTTCAAATAAAAACTAGACAGAAGCATTCTCATAAACTTGTTCGTGATGTGTGAACTCAGCTAACACACGTGGATCTTTCTTTTGATAGAGCAGTTCTGAAAAACACTTTTTGTTGAATCTGCAAGAGGACAGTTGGATAGATTTGAAGATTTCGTTGGAAACGGGAATATCTTCATATCAAATCTAGACAGAAGCATCTCAGAAACGTCTTTGCGATGTTTGCATTCAACTCATAGAGTTGAACATTCCGTTTCAGAGAGCAGCTTTGAGGCACTCTTTTTGTAGTATGTGCAAGTGGATATTTGGAGCGCTCTGAGGCCTACGGTGAAAAAGCAAATATCTTCCCATAACCACTAGACAGAAACATTCTCAGAAACTCCTTTATGACGTATGCACTCACCTAACAGAAAAGAACCTTCCTTTTGACAGAGCAGTTTTGATACACTCTTTTTGTAGAATCTGCAAGTGGATATTTGGATAGCTGTGAAGATTTCGTTGGAAACGGGAATATCATCCTATAAAATCTAGACAGAAGCATTCTCAGAAACTGCTCTGTGATGTCTGCATTCAAGTCACAGAGTTGAACATTGCCTTTCACAGAGCAGCTTTGAAATGCTCTTTTTGTAGTATATGGAAGTGGACGTTTCAGACGGTTTGAGGCCCATGGTGATAAAGGGAATATCTTCCCCTACAAGCTAGAAAGAAGCATTATGTGAAACTTGTTTGTGATGTGTGTACTCAACTAACAGAGTTGAACCTTTCTTTTTACAGAGCAGTTTTGAAACACTCTTTTTGTAGAATCTGCGAGGGGATATTTGGATAGATTTCAGGATTTCGTTGGAAACGGGAATATCTTCATATAAAATCTCGACAGAAGCATTCTCAGAAACTTCCTTGTGATATGTGCATTCAAGTCACAGGAGTTGAATATTCCCTTTCACAGGAGTAGGTTTGAAACACTCTTTTTGTAGTATCTGGAAGTGGACATTTGGAGCGCCTTGACGCCTACGGTGAAAAGGGAAATATCTTCCCATAAAAACTAGACAGAAGCAATCTCAGAATCTTCTTTGGGATATATGCACGCAGCTAACAGAGTTGAACCTTTCTCTTGACAGAGCAGTTTTGAAACATTCTTTCTGTGGAATCTGCAAGTGGATATTTGGATAGCTTGGAGGATTTCGTTGGAAACGGGATTATGTATAAAAAGTAGACAGCAGCATCCTCAGAAACTTCTTTGTGAAGTGTGCATTCAAGTCACAGAGTTGAACATCCCGTTTCGTACAGCAGTTTTGAAACACTCTTTCTGTAGTATCTGGAAGAAAACATTAGGACAGCTTTCAGGTCTATGGTGAGAAAGGAAATATCTTCAAATAAAAACTAGACAGAAGCATTCTCATAAACTTGTTTGTGATGTGTGAACTCAGCTAACAGAGGTGGATCTTCCCTTTTGATAGAGCAGTTCTGAAAAACTCATTTTGTTGAATCTGCAAGTGGACATTTGGATAGATTTGAAGATTTCGTTGGAAACGGGAATATCTTCATATCAAATCTAGACAGAAGCATTCTCAGAAACGTCTTTGCGATGTTTGCATTCAACTCATAGAGTTGAACATTCCGTTTCAGAGAGCAGCTTTGAGGCACTCTTTTTGTAGTATGTGCAAGTGGATATTTAGAGCGCTCTGAGGCCTACGGTGAAAAAGCAAATATCTTCCCATAACCACTAGACAGAAACATTCTCAGAAACTCCTTTATGACGTATGCACTCACCTAACAGAGAATAACCTTCCTTTTGACAGAGCATTTTTGATACACTCTTTTTGTAGCATCTGCAAGTGGATATTTGGATAGCTGTGAAGATTTCGTTGGAAACGGGAATATCTTCCTATAAAATCTAGACAGAAGCATTCTCAGGAACTGCTCTGCGATGTCTGTATTCAAGTCACAGAGTTGAACATTGCCTTTCATAGAGCAGGTTTGAAACGCTCTTTTTGTAGTATATGGAAGTAGACGTTTCGGACGGTTTGAGGCCCATGGTGATAAAGGGAATATCTTCCCCTACAAGCTAGAAAGAAGCATTCTGTGAAACTTGTTTGTGATGTGTGTACTCAACTAACAGAGTTGAAGCTTTCTTTTTACAGAGCAGTTTTGAAACACTCTTTTTGTAGAATCTGCGAGGGGATATTTGGATAGATTTCAGGATTTCGTTGGAAACGGGAATATCTTCATATAAAATCTCGACAGAAGCATTCTCAGAAACTTCTTTGTGATATCTGCATTCAAGCCACAGAGTTGAATATTCCCTTTCACAGAGTAGGGTTGAAACACTCTTTTTGTAGTATCTGGAAGTGGACATTTGCAGCGCCTTGACACCTACGGTGAAAAGGGAAATATCTTCCCATAAAAACTAGACAGAAGCAATCTCAGAATCTTCTTTGGGATATATGTACGCAGCTAATAGAGTTGAACCTTTCTATTGACAGAGCAGTTTTGAAACAGTCTTTCTGTGGAATCTGCAAGTAGATATTTGGATAGCTTGGAGGATTTCGTTGGAAACGGGATTACGTATAAAAAGTAGACAGCAGCATCCTCAGAAACTTCTTTGTGATGTGTGCATTCAAGTCACAGAGTTGAACATTCCCTTTCGTACAGCAGTTTTGAAACACTCTTTCTGTAGTATCTGGAAGTGAACATTAGGACAGCCTTCAGGTCTATGGTGAGAAAGGAAATATCTTCAAATAAAAACTAGACAGAAGCATTCTGATAAACTTGTTTGTGAAGTGTGATCTCAGCTAACAGAGGTGGATCTTTCTTTTGATAGAGCAGTTCTGAAAAACACTTTGTTGAATCTGCAAGTGGACATTTGGATAGATTTGAAGATTTCGTTGGAAACGGGAATATCTTCATATCAAATACTAGACAGAAGCATTCTCAGAAACGTCTTTGTGATGTTTGCATTCAACTCATAGAGTTGAACATTCCCTTTCAGAGAGCAGCTTTGAAGCACTCTTTTTGTAGTATGTGCAAGTGGATATTTGGAGCGCTCTGAGGCCTACGGTGAAAAAGCAAATATCTTCCCATAACCACAAGACAGAAACATTCTCAGAAACTCCTTTATGACGTATGCACTCACCTAACAGAGAAGAGCCTTCCTTTTGACAGAGCAGTTTTGATACACTCTTTTTGTAGAATCTGCAAGTGGATATTTGGATAGCTGTGAAGATTTCGTTGGAAACGGGAATATCTTCCTATAAAATCTAGACAGAAGCATTCTCAGAAACTGCTCTGTGATGTCTGCATTCAAGTCACAGAGTTGAACATTGCCTTTCCTAGAGCAGGTTTGAAACGCTCTTTTTGTAGTATATGGAAGTGGACGTTTCCGACGGTTTGAGGCCCATGGTGATAAAGGGAATATCTTCCCCTACAAGCTAGAAAGAAGCATTCTGTGAAACTTGTTTGTGATGTGTGTACTCAACTAACAGAGTTGAACCTTGCTTTTCACAGAGCAGTTTTGAAACACTCTTTTTGTAGAATCTGCGAGCGGATATTTGGATAGATTTCAGGATTTCGTTGGAAACGGGAATATCTTCATATAAAATCTCGACAGAAGCATTCTCAGAAACTTCTTTGTGATATGTGCATTCAAGTCACAGAGTTGAATATTCCCTTTCACAGAGTAGGTTTGAAACACTCTTTTTGTAGTATCTGGAAGTGGATATTTGGAGCACCTTGACACCTACGGTGAAAAGGGAAATATCTTCCCATAAAAACTAGACAGAAGCAATCTCAGAATCTTCTTTGGGATATATGCACGCAGCTAACAGAGTTGAACCTTTCTATTGACAGAGCAGTTTAGAAACAGTCTTTCTGTGGAATCTGCAAGTGGATATTTGGATAGATTGGAGGATTTCGTTGGAAACGGGATTACGTATAAAAAGTAGACAGCAGCATCCTCAGAAACATCCTTGTGATGTGTGCATTCAAGTCACAGAGTTGAACATTCCCTTTCGTACAGCAGTTTTGAAACACTCTTTCTGTAGTATCTGGAAGTGAACTTTAGGACAGCTTTCAGGTCTATAGTGAGAAAGGATATATCTTCAAATAAAAACTAGACGGAAGCATTCTCATAAACTTGTTTGTGATGTGTGAACTCAGCTAACAGACGTGGATCTTTCTTTTGATACAGCAGTTTTGAAAAACACTTTTTGTTGAATCTGCAAGTGGACATTTGGATAGATTTGAAGATTTCGTTGGAAACGGGAATATCTTCATATCAAATCTAGACAGAAGCATTCTCAGAAACGTCTTTGTGATGTTTGCATTCAACTCATAGCGAGTTGAACATTCCCTTTCAGAGAGCAGCTTTGAAGCACTCTTTTTGTAGTATGTGCAAGTGGATATTTGGAGCGCTCTGAGGCCTACGGGGAAAAAGCAAATATCTTCTCCATAACCACTAGACAGGAACATTCTCAGAAATTCCTTTATGACGTATGCACTCACGTAACAGAGAAGAACCTTCCTTTTGACAGAGCAGTTTTGATACACTCTTTTTGTAGAATCTGCAAGTGGATATTTGGATACCTGTGAAGATTTCGTTGGAAACGGGAATATCTTCCTATAAAATCTAGACAGAAGCATTCTCAGAAACTGCTCTGTGATGTCTGCATTCAAGTCACAGAGTTGAACATTGCCTTTCATAGAGCAGGTTTGAAACACTCTTTTTGTAGTATATGGAAGTGGACGTTTCGGACGGTTTGAGGCCCATGGTGATTTGGGGAATATCTTCCCCTACAAGCTAGAAAGAAGCATTCTGTGAAACTTGTTTGTGATGTGTGTACTCAACTAACAGAGTTGAACCTTTCTTTTTACAGAGCAGTTTTGAAACACTCTTTCTGTAGAATCTGCGAGGGGATATTTGGATAGATTTCAGCATTTCGTTGGAAACGGGAATATCTTCATATAAAATCTCGACAGAAGCATTCTCAGAAACTTCTTTGTGATAACTGCATTCAAGTCACAGAGTTGAATATTCCCTTTCACCGAGTAGGTTTGAAACACTCTTTTTGTAGTATCTGGAAGTGGACATTTGGAGCGCCATGACGCCTACGGTGAAAAGGGAAATATCTTCCAATAAAAACTAGACAGAAGCAATTTCAGAATCTTCTTTGGGATATATGCACGCAGCTAACAGAGTTGAACCTTTCTATTGACAGAGCAGTTTTGAAACAGTCTTTCTGTGGAATCTGCAAGCGGATATTTGGATAGTTGGAGGATTTCGTTGGAAACGGGATTACGTATAAAAAGTAGACAGCAGCATCCTGAGAAACTTACTTTGTGATGTGTGCATTCAAGTCACAGAGTTGAACATTCCCTTTCGTACAGCAGTATTGAAACACTCTTTCTGTAGTATCTGGAAGTGAACATTAGGACAGCTTTCAGGTCTATGGTGAGAAAGGAAATATCTTCAAATAAAAAGTAGACAGAAGCATTCTCATAAACTTGTTTGTGATGTGTGAACTCAGCTAAGAGACGTGGATCTTTCTTTTGATAGAGCAGTTCTGAAAAACACTTTTTGTTGAATCTGCAAGTGGACATTTGGATAGATTTGAAGATTTCGTTGGAAACGGGAATATCTTCATATCAAATCTAGACAGAAGCATTCTCAGAAACGTCTTTGTGATGTTTGCATTCAACTCATAGAGTTGAACATTCCGTTTCAGAGAACAGCTTTGAAGCACTCTTTTTGTAGTATGTGCAAGTGGATATTTGGAGCGCTCTGAGGCCTACGGTGAAAAAGCAAATATCTTCCCATAACCACTAGACAGAACCATTCTCAGAAACTCCTTTATGACGTATGCACTCACCTAACAGAGAAGAACCTTCCTTTTGACAGAGCACTTTTGATACACTCTTTTTGTAGAATCTGCAAGTGGATATTTGGATAGCTGTGAAGATTTCGTTGGAAACGGGAATATCTTCCTATAAAATCTAGACAGAAGTATTCTCAGAAACTGCTCTGAGATGTCTGCATTCAAGTCACAGAGTTGAACATTGCCTTTCATAGAGCAGGTGTGAAACGCTCTTTTTGTAGTATATGGAAGTGGATGTTTCGGACGGTTGGAGGCCCATGGTGATAAAGGGAATATCTTCCCCTACAAGCTAGAAAGAAGCATTCTGTGAAACTTGTTTGTGATGTGTGTACTCAACTAACAGGGTTGAACCTTTCTTTTTACAGAGCAGTTTTGAAACACTCTTTTTGTAGAATCTGCGAGGGGATATTTGGATAGATTTCAGGATTTCTTTGGAAACGGGAATATCTTCATATAAAATCTCGACAGAAGCATTCTCAGAAACTTCTTTGTCATATGTGCATTCAAGTCACAGAGTTGAATATTCCCTTTCACAGAGTAGGTTTGAAACACTCTTTTTGTAGTATCTGGAAGTGGACATTTGGAGCGCCTTGACGCCTACGGTGAAAAGGGAAATATCTTCCCATAAAAACTAGACAGAAGCAATCTCGGAATCTTCTTTGGGATATATGCACGCAGCTAACAGAGTTGAACCTTTCTATTGACAGAGCAGTTTTGAAACAGTCTTTCTGTAGAATCTGCAAGTGGATATTTGGATAGCTTGGAGGATTTCGTTGGAAACGGGATTACGTATAAAAAGTAGACAGCAGCATCCTCAGAAACTTCTTTGTGATGTGTGCATTCAAGTCACAGAGTTGAACATTCCCTTTCGTACAGCAGTTTTGAAACACTCTTTCTGTAGTATCTGGAAGTGAACATTAGGACAGCTTTCAGCTCTATGGTGAGAAACGAAATATCTTCAAATAAAAACTAGACAGAAGCATTCTCATAAACTTGTTTGTGATGTGTGAACTCAGCTAACAGAGGTGGATCTTTCTTTTGATAGAGCAGTTCTGAAAACCACTTTTTGTTGAATCTGCAAGTGGACATTTGGATAGATTTGAAGATTTCGTTGGAAACGGGAATATCTTCATATCAAATCTAGACAGAAGCATTCTCAGAAACGTCTTTGCGATGTTTGCATTCAACTCATAGAGTTGAACATTCCGTTTCAGAGAGCAGCTTTGAGGCACTCTTTTTATAGTATGTGCAAGTGGATATTTGGAGCGCTCTGAGGCCTACGGTGAAAAAGCAAATATCTTCCCATAACCACTAGACAGAAAGCATTCTCAGAAACTGCTCTGTGATGTCTGCATTCAAGTCACAGAGTTGAACATTGCCTTTCATAGAGCAGGTTTGAAATGCTCTTTTTGTAGTATATGGAAGTGGACTTTTCGGACGGTTTGAGGCCCATGGTGATAAAGGGAATATCTTCCCCTACAAGCTAGAAAGAAGCATTCTGTGAAACTTGTTTGTGATGTGTGTACTCAACTAACAGAGTTGAACATTTCTTTTCACAGAGCAGTTTTGAAACACTCTTTTTGTAGAATCTGCGAGCGGATATTTGGATAGATTTCAGGATTTCGTTGGAAACGGGAATATCTTCCTATAAAATCTAGACAGAAGCATTCTCAGAAACTTCTTTGTGATATGTGCATTCAAGTCACAGATTTGAATGTTCCCTTTCACAGAGAAGGTTTGAAACACTCTTTTTCTAGTATCTGGAAGTGGACATTTGGAGCGCCTTGACGCCTACGGTGAAAAGGGAAATATCTTCCCATAAAAACTAGACAGAAGCAATCTCAGAATCTTCTTTGGGATATATGCACGCAGCTAACAGAGTTGAACCATTCTATTGACTGAGCAGATTTGAAACAGTCTTTCTGTGGAATCTGCAAGTGGATATTTGGATAGATTGGAGGATTTCGTTGGAAACGGGATTACGTATAAAAAGTAGACAGCAGCATCCTCAGAAACTTCTTTGTGATGTGTGCATTCAAGTCACAGAGTTGAATATTCCCTTTCGTACAGCAGTTTTGAAACACTCTTTCTGTAGTATCTGGAAGTGAACATTAGGACAGCTTTCAGGTCTATGGTGAGAAAGGAAATATCTTCAAATAAAAACTAGACAGAAAGCATTCTCATAAACTTGTTTGTGATGTGTGAACTCAGCTAACAGAGGTGGATCTTTCTTTTGATAGAGCAGTTCGGAAAAACACTTTTTGTTGAATCTGCAAGTGGACATTTGGATAGATTTGAAGATTTCGTTGGAAACGGGAATATCTTTATATCAAATCTAGACAGAAGCATTCTCGGAAACGTCTTTGTCATGTTTGCATTCAACTCATAGAGTTGAACATTCCGTTTCAGAGAGCAGCTTTGAAGCACTCTTTTTATAGTATGTGCAAGGGGATATTTGGAGTGCTCTGAGGCCTAAGGTGAAAAAGCAAATATCTTCCCATAACCACTAGACAGAAACATTCTCAGAAACTCCTTTATGACGTATGCACTCACCTAACAGAGAAGAACCTTCCTTTTGACAGAGCAGTTTTGATACACTCTTTTTATAGAATCTGCAAGTGGATATTTGGATAGCTGTGAAGATTTCGTTGGAAACGGGAATATCTTCCTATAAAATCTATACAGAAGCATTCTCAGAAACTGCTCTGTGATGTCTGCATTCAAGTCACAGAGTTGAACATTGCCTTTCCTAGAGCAGGTTTGAAACGCTCTTTTTTAGTATATGGAAGTGGACGTTTCAGACGGTTTGAGGCCCATGGTGTTAAAGGGAATATCTTCCCCTACAAGCTAGAAAGAAGCATTCTGTGAAACTTGTTTGTGATGTGTGTACTCAACTAACAGAGTTGAACCTTTCTTTTCACAGAGCAGTTTTGAAACACTCTTTTTGTAGAATCTGCGAGGGGATATTTGGATAGATTTCAGCATTTCGTTGGAAACAGGAATATCTTCATATAAAATCTCGACAGAAGCATTCTCAGAAACTTCTTTGTGATATGTGCATTCAAGTCAGAGATTTGAATATTCCCTTTCACAGAGTAGGTTTGAAACACTCTTTTTGTAGTATCTGGAAGTGGTCATTTGGAGCGCCTTGATGCCCACGGTGAAAAGGGAAATATCTTCCCATAAAAACTAGACAGAAGCAATCTCAGAATCTTCTTTGGGATATATGCACGCAGTTAACAGAGTTGAACCTTTCTATTGACAGAGCAGTTTTGAAACAGTCTTTCTGTGGAATCTCCAAGTGGATATTTGGATAGCTTGGAGGATTTCGTTGGAAACGGGATTACGTATAAAAAGTAGACAGCAGCATCCTCAGAAACTTCTTTGTGATGTGTGCATTCAAGTCACAGGAGTTGAACATTCCCTTTCATACAGCAGTTTTGAAACACTCTTTCTGTAGTATCTGGAAGTGAACATTAGGACAGCTTTCAGCTCTATGGTGAGAAAGGAAATATCTTCAAATAAAAACTAGACAGAAGCATTCTCCTAAACTTGTTTGTGATGTGTGAACTCAGCTAACAGACGTGGATCTTTCTTTTGATACAGGAGTTTTGAAAAACACTTTTTGTTGAATCTGCAAGTGGACATTTGGATAGATTTGAAGATTTCGTTGGAAACGGGAATATCTTCATATCAAATCTAGACAGAAAGCATTCTCAGAAACGTCTTTGTGATGTTTACATTCAACTCATAGAGTTGAACATTCCCTTTCAGAGAGCAGCTTTGAAGCACTCTTTTTGTAGCATGTGCAAGTGGACATTTGGAGCGCTCTGAGGTCTACGGGGAAAAAGCAAATATCTTCCCATAACCACTAGACAGAAACATTCTCAGAAACTCCTTTATGATGTATGCACTCACCTAACAGAGAAGAACCTTCCTTTTGACAGAGCAGTTTTGATACACTCTTTTTGTAGAATCTGCAAGTGGATATTTGGATACCTGTGAAGATTTCGTTGGAAACGGGAATATCTTCCTATAAAATGTAGACAGAAGCATTCTCAGAAACTGCTCTGTGATGTCTGCATTCAAGTCACAGAGTTGAACATTACCTTTCATAGAGCAGGTTTGAAACGCTCTTTTTGTAGTATATGGAAGTGGATGTTTCGGACGGTTGGAGGCCCATGGTGATAAAGGGAATATCTTCCCCTACAAGCTAGAAAGAAGCATTCTGTGAAAGTTGTTTGTGATGTGTGTACTCAACTAACCGAGTTGAACCTTTCTTTTTACAGAGCAGTTTTGAAACACTCTTTTTGTAGAATCTGCGAGGGGATATTTGGATAGATTTCAGGATTTCGTTGGAAACGGGAATATCTTCATATAAAATCTCGACAGAAGCATTCTCAGAAACTTCTTTGTGATATCTGCATTCAAGTCACAGAGTTGAATATTCCCTTTCACAGAGTAGGTTTGAAACACTCTTTTTGTAGTATCTGGAAGTGGACATTTGGAGCGCCTTGACACCTACCGTGAAAAGGGAAATATCTTCCCATAAAAACTAGACAGAAGCAATCTCAGAATCTTCTTTGGGATATATGCACGCAGCTAACAGAGTTGAACCTTTCTATTGACAGAGCAGTTTTGAAACAGTCTTTCTGTGGAATCCGCAAGTGGATATTTGGATAGCTTGGAGGATTTCGTTGGAAACGGGATTACGTATAAAAAGTAGACAGCAGCATCCTCAGAAACTTCTTTGTGATGTGTGCATTCAAGTCACAGAGTTGAACATTCCCTTTTGTACAGCAGTTTTGAAACACTCTTTCTGTAGTATCTGGAAGTGAACATTAGGACAGCTTTCAGCTCTATGGTGAGAAAGGAAATATCTTCAAATAAAAACTAGACAGAAGCATTCTCAGTAAACGTCTTTGTGATGTTTGCATTCAACTCATAGAGTTGAACATTCCGTTTCAGAGAGCAGCTTTGAAGCACTCTTTTTGTAGTATGTGCAAGGGGATATTTGGAGCGCTCTGAGGCCTACGGTGAAAAAGCAAATATCTTCCCATAACCACTAGACAGAAACATTCTCAGAAATTCCTTTATGACGTATGCACTCACCTAACAGAGAAGAACCTTCCTTTTGACAGAGCAGTTTTGATACACTCTTTTTGTAGAATCTGCAAGTGGATATTTGGATACCTGTGAAGATTTCGTTGGAAACGGGAATAACTTCCTATAAAATCTAGACAGAAGCATTCTCAGAAACTGCTCTGTGATGTCTGCATTCAAGTCACAGAGTTGAACATTGCCTTTCATAGAGCAGGTTTGAAACACTCTTTTTGTAGTATATGGAAGTGGACGTTTCGGACGGTTTGAGGCCCATGGTGATTTAGGGAATATCTTCCCCTACAAGCTAGAAAGAAGCATTCTGTGAAACATGCTTGCGATGTGTGTACTCAACTAACAGTGTTGAACCTTTCTTTTTACAGAGCAGTTTGGAAACACTCTTTTTGTAGAATCTGCGAGGGGATATTTGGATAGATTTCAGGATTTCGTTGAAAACGGGAATATCTTCATATAAAATCTCGACAGAAGCATTCTCAGAAACTTCCTTGTGATATGTGCATTCAAGTCACAGAGTTGAATATTCCCTTTCACAGAGTAGGTTTGAAACACTCTTTTTGTAGTATCTGGAAGTGGACATTTGGAGCGCCTTGACGGCCCACGGTGAAAAGGGAAATATCTTCCCATAAAAACTAGACAGAAGCAATCTCAGAATCTTCTTTGGGATATATGCACGCAGTTAACAGAGTTGAACCTTTCTATTGACAGAGCAGTTTTGAAACAGTCTTTCTGTGGAATCTGCAAGTGGATATTTGGATAGCTTGGAGGATTTCGTTGGAAATGGGATTACGTATAAAAAGTAGACAGCAGCATCCTCAGAAACTTCTTTGTGATGTGTGCATTCAAGTCACAGAGTTGAACATTCCCTTTCGTAAAGCAGTTTTGAAACACTCTTTCTGTAGTATCTGGAAGTGAACATTAGGACAGCTTTCAGGTCTATGGTGAGAAAGGAAATATCTTCAAATAAAAACTAGACAGAAGCATTCTCATAAACTTGTTTGTGATGTGTGAACTCAGCTAACAGAGGTGGATCTTTCTTTTGATAGAGCAGTTCTGAAAAACACTTTTTGTTGAATCTGCAAGTGGACATTTGGATAGATTTGAAGATTTCTTTGGAAACGGGAATATCTATATATCAAATCTAGACAGAAGCATTCTCGAAAACGTCTTTGTGATGTTTGCATTCAACTCATAGAGTTGAACATTCCGTTTCAGAGAGCAGCTTTGAGGCACTCATTTTGTAGTATGTGCAAGTGGATATTTGGAGCGCTCTGAGGCCTTCGGTGAAAAAGCAAATATCTTCCCATAACCACTAGACAGAAACATTCTCAGAAACTCCTTTATGACGTATGTACTCAACTAACAGAGAAGAACCTTCTTTTTGACAGTGCAGTTTTGATACACTCTTTTTGTAGAATCTGCAAGTGCATATTTGGATAGCTGTGAAGATTTCGTTGGAAACGGGAATATCTTCCTATAAAATCTAGACAGAAGCATTCTCAGAAACTGCTCTGTGATGTCTGCATTCAAGTCACAGAGTTGAACATTGCCTTTCATAGAGCAGGTTTGAAACGCTCTTTTTGTAGTATATGGAAGTGGATGTTTCGGACGGTTGGAGGCCCATGGTCATAAAGGGAATATCTTCCCCTACAAGCTAGAAAGAAGCATTCTGTGAAACTTGTTTGTGATGTGTGTACTCAACTAACAGAGTTGAACCTTTCTTTTTACAGAGCAGTTTTGAAACACTCTTTTTGTAGAATCTGCGAGGGGATATTTGGATAGATTTCAGGATTTCATTGGAAACGGGAATATCTTCATATAAAATCTCGACAGAAGCATTCTCAGAAACTTCTTTGTGATATCTGCATTCAAGTCACAGAGTTGAATATTCCCTTTGACAGAGTAGGTTTGAAACACTCTTTTTGTAGTATCTGGAAGTGGACATTTGGAGCGCCTTGACACCTACGGTGAAAAGGGAAATATCTTCCCATAAAAACTAGACAGAAGCAATCTCAGAATCTTCTTTGGGATATATGCACGCAGCTAACAGAGTTGAACCTTTCTATTGACAGAGCAGTTTTGAAACAGTCTTTCTGTGGAATCTGCAAGTGGATATTTGGATAGCTTGGAGGATTTCGGTGGAAACGGGATTACGTATAAAAAGTAGACAGCAGCATCCTCAGAAACTTCTTTGTGATGTGTGCATTCAAGTCACAGAGTTGAACATTCCCTTTCGTACAGCAGTTTTGAAACACTCTTTCTGTAGTATCTGGAAGTGAACATTAGGACAGCTTTCAGGTCTATGGTGAGAAAGGAAATAACTTCAAATAAAAACTAGACAGAAGCATTCTCATAAATTTGTTTGTGATGTGTGAACTCAGCTAACAGACGTGGATCTTTCTTTTGATACAGCAGTTTTGAAAAACACTTTTTGTTGAGTCTGCATGTGGACATTTGGATAGATTTGAAGATTTCGTTGGAAACGGGAATATCTTCATATCAAATCTAGACAGAAGCATTCTCAGAAACGTCTTTGTGATGTTTGCATTCAACCCATAGAGTTGAACATTCCGTTTCAGAGAGCAGCTTTGAAGCACTCTTTTTGTAGTATGTGCAAGGGGATATTTTGAGCGCTCTGAGGCCTAAGGTGAAAAAGCAAATATCTTCCCATAACCACTAGACAGAAACATTCTCAGAAACCCCTTTATGACGTATGCACTCACCTAACAGAGAAGAACCTTCCTTTTGACTGAGCAGTTTTGATACACTCTTTTTGTAGAATCTGCAAGTGGATATTTGGATAGCTGTGAAGATTTCGTTGGAAACGGGAATATCTTCCTATAAAATCTAGACAGAAGCATTCTCAGAAACTGCTCTGTGATGTCTGCATTCAAGTCACAGAGTTGAACATTGCCTTTCATAGAGCCGGTTTGAAACGCTCTTTTTGTAGTATATGGAAGTGGATGTTTCGGACGGTTGGAGGCCCATGGTGATAAAGGGAATATCTTCCCCTACAAGCTAGAAAGAAGCATTCTGTGAAACTTGTTTGTGATGTGTGTACTCAACTAACAGAGTTGAACCTTTCTTTTTACAGAGCAGTTTTGAAACACTCTTTCTGTAGAATCTGCGAGGGGATATTTGGATAGATTTCAGGATTTCGTTGGAAACCGGAATATCTTCATATAAAATCTCGACAGAAGCATTCTCAGAAAATTCTTTGTGATATGTGCATTCAAGTCACAGAGTTGAATATTCCCTTTCACAGAGTAGGTTTGAAACACTCTTTTAGTAGTATCTGGAAGTGGACATTTGGAGCGCCTTGACGCCTACGGTGAAAAGGGAAATATCTTCCCATAAAAACTAGACAGAAGCAATCTCAGAATCTTCTTTGGGATATATGCACGCAGCTAACAGAGTTGAACCTTTCTATTGACAGAGCAGTTTTGAAACAGTCTTTCTGTGGAATCTGCAAGTGGATATTTGGATAGATTGGAGGATTTCGTTGGAAACGGGATTACGTATAAAAAGTAGACAGCAGCATCCTCAGAAACTTCTTTGTGATGTGTGCATTCAAGTCACAGGGTTGAACATTCCCTTTCGTACAGCAGTTTTGAAACACTCTTTCTGTAGTATCTGGGAGTGAACATTAGGACAGCTTTCAGGTCTATGGTGAGAAAGGAAATATCTTCAAATAAAAACTAGACAGAAGCATTCTCATAAACTTGTTTGGTGATGTGTGAACTCAGCTAACAGAGGTGGATCTTTCTTTTGATAGAGCAGTTCTGAAAAACACTTTTTGTTGAATCTGCAAGTGGACATTCGGATAGATTTGAAGATTTCATTGGAAACGGGAATATCTTCATATCAAATCTAGACAGAATCATTCCCAGAAACGTCTTTGTGATGTTTGCATTCAACTCATATAGTTGAACATTCCCTTTCAGAGAGCAGCTTTGAAGCACTCTTTTTGTAGTATGTGCAAGGGGATATTTGGAGCGCTCTGAGGCCTACGGTGAAAAAGCAAATATCTTCGCATAACCACTAGACAGAAACATTCTCAGAAACTCCTTTATGACGTATGCACTCACCTAACAGAGAAGAACCTTCCTTTTGACAGAGCAGATTTGATACACTCTTTTTATAGAATCTGCAAGTGGATATTTGGATAGCTGTGAAGATTTCGTTGGAAACGGGAATATCTTCCTATAAAATCTAGACAGAAGCATTCTCAGAAACTGCTCTGTGATGTCTGCATTCAAGTCACAGAGTTGAACATTGCCTTTCATAGAGCAGGTTTGAAACGCTCTTTTTGTAGTATATGGAAGTTGACGTTTCGGACGGTTTGAGGCCCATGGTGATAAAGGGAATATCTTCCCCTACAAGCTAGAAAGAAGCATTCTGTGAAACTTGTTTGTGATGTGTGTACTCAACTAACAGAGTTGAACCTTTCTTTTTACAGAGCAGTTTTGAAACACTCTTTTTGTAGAATCTGCGAGGGGATATTTGGATAGATTTCAGGATTTCGTTGGAAACGGGAATATCTTCAAATAAAATCTCGACAGATGCATTCTCAGAAACTTCTTTGTGATATGTGCATTCTAGTCACAGAGTTGAATATTCCCTTTCATAGAGTAAGTTTGAAACACTCTTTTTGTACTATCTGGAAGTGGACATTTGGAGCGCCTTGACGCCTACGGTGAAAAGGGAAATATCTTCCCATAAAAACTAGACAGAAGCAATCTCAGAATCTTCTTTGGGATATATGCACGCAGCTAACAGAGTTGAACCTTTCTATTGACAGAGCAGTTTTCAAACAGTCTTTCTGTGGAATCTGCAAGTGGATATTTAGATAGCTTGGAGGATTTCGTTGGTAACGGGATTACGTATAAAAATTAGCAGCATCCTCAGAAACTTCCTTGTGATGTGTGCATTCAAGACACAGAGTTGAACATTCCCTTTCGTACAGCAGTTTTGAAACACTCTTTCTGTAGTATCTGGAAGTGAACATTAGGACAGCTTTCAGGTCTATCGTGAGAAAGGAAATATCTTCACATAAAAACTAGACAGAAGCATTCTCATAAACTTGTTTGTGATGTGTGAACTCAGCTAACAGACGTGGATCTTTCTTTTGATATAGCAGTTTTGAAAAACACTTTTTGTTGAATCTGCAAGTGGACATTTGGATAGATTTGAAGATTTCGTTGGAAACGGGAATATCTTCATATCAAATCTAGACAGAAGCATTCTCAGAAACGTCTTTGTGATGTTTGCATTCAACCCATAGAGTTGAACATTCCGTTTCAGAGAGCAGCTTTGAAGCACTCTTTCTGTAGTATGTGCAAGGGGATATTTTGAGCGCTCTGAGGCCTAAGGTGAAAAAGCAAATATCTTCCCATAACCACTAGACAGAAACATTCTCAGAAACTCCTTTATGACGTATGCACTCACCTAACAGAGAAGAACCTTCCTTTTGACTGAGCAGTTTTGATACACTCTTTTTGTAGAATCTGCAAGTGGATATTTGGATAGCTGTGAAGATTTCGTTGGAAACGGGAATATCTTCCTATAAAATCTAGACAGAAGCATTCTCAGAAACTGCTCTGTGATGTCTGCATTCAAGTCACAGAGTTGAACATTGCCTTTCGTAGAGCAGGTTTGAAACGCTCTTTTTGTAGTATATGGAAGTGGACGTTTCGGACGGTTTGAGGCCCATGGTGATAAAGGGAATATCTTCCCCTACAAGCTAGAAAGAAGCATTCTGTGAAACTTGTTTGTGATGTGTGTACTCAACTAACAGAGTTGAACCTTTCTTTTTACATAGCAGTTTTGAAACACTCTTTTTGTAGAATCTGCGAGGGGATATTTGGATAGATTTCAGGATTTTGTTGGAAACGGGAATATCTTCATATAAAATCTCGACAGAAGCATTCTCAGAAACTTCCTTGTGATATGTGCATTCAAGTCACAGAGTTGAATATTCCCTTTCACAGAGTAGGTTTGAAACACTCTTTTTGTAGTATCTGGAAGTGGACATTTGGAGCGTCTTGACACCTACGGTGAAAAGGGAAATATCTTCCCATAAAAACTAGACAGAAGCAATCTCAGAATCTTCTTTGGGATATATGCACGCAGCTAACAGAGTTGAACCTTTCTATTGCCAGAGCAGTTTTGAAACAGTCTTTCTGTGGAATCTGCAAGTGGATATTTGGATAGCTTGGAGGATTTCGTTGGAAACGGGATTACGTATAAAAAGTAGACAGCAGCATCCTCAGAAACTTCTTTGTGATGTGTGCATTCAAGTCACAGAAGTTGAACATTCCCTTTCGTACAGCAGTTTTGAAACACTCTTTCTGTAGTATCTGCAAGTGAACATTAGGACAGCTTTCAGGTCTGTGGTGAGAAAGGAAATATCTTCAAATAAAAACTAGACAGAAGCATTCTCATAAACTTGTTTGTGATGTGTGAACTCAGCTTACAGAGGTGGATCTTTCTTTTGATAGAGCAGTTCTGAAAAACACTTTTTGTTGAATCTGCAAGTGGACATTTGGATAGATTTTAAGATTTCGTTGGAAACGGGAATATCTTCATATCAAATCTAGACAGAAGCATTCTCAGAAACGTCGTTGTAATGTTTGCATTCAACTCATAGAGTTGAACATTCCGATTCAGAGAGCAGCTTTGAGGCACTCTTTTTGTAGTATGTGCAAGTGGATATTTGGAGCGCTCTGAGGCCTACGGTGAAAAAGCAAATATCTTCCCATAACCACTAGACAGAAACATTCTCAGAAACTTCTTTATGACGTATGTACTCAACTAACAGAGAAGAACCTTCCTTTTGACAGAGCAGTTTTGATACACTCTTTTTGTAGAATCTGCAACTGGATATTTGGATAGCTGTGAAGAATTCGTTGGAAACGGGAATATCTTCCTATAAAATCTAAAGAAAAGCATTCTCAGAAACTGCTCTGTGATGTCTGCATTCAAGTCACAGAGTTGAACATTGCCTTTCATAGAGCAGGTTTGAAACGCTCTTTTTGTAGTATATGGAAGTTGACGTTTCACACGGTTTGAGGCCCATGGTGATAAAGGAAATATCTTCCCCTACAAGCTAGAAAGAAGCATTGTGTGAAACTTGTTTGTGATGTGTGTACTCAACTAACAGAGTTGAACCTTTCTTTTTACAGAGTAGTTTTGAAACACTCTTTTTGTAGAATCTGCGCGGGGATATTTGGATACATTTCAGGATTTCGTTGGAAACGGGAATATCTTCATATAAAATCTCGACAGAAAGCATTCTCAGAAACTTCTTTGTGATATGTGCATTCAAGTCACAGAGTTGAATATTCCCTTTCACAGAGTAGGTTTGAAACACTCTTTTTGTAGTATCTGGAAGTGGACATTTGGAGCGCCTTGACACCTACGGTGAAAAGGGAAGTATCTTCCCATCAAAACTAGACAGAAGCAATCTCAGAATCTTCTTTGGGATATATGCACGCAGCTAACAGAGTTGAACCTTTCTATTGACAGAGCAGTTTTGAAACAGTCTTTCTGTGGAATCTGCAAGTGGATATTTGGATAGCTTGGAGGATTTCGTTGGAAACGGGATTATGTATAAAAAGTAGACAGCAGCATCCTCAGAAACTTCTTTGTGATGTGTGCATTCAAGTCACAGAGTTGAACATTCCCTTTCGTACAGCAGTTTTGAAACACTCTTTCTGTAGTATCTGGAAGTGAACATTAGGACAGCTTTCAAGTCTATGGTGAGAAAGGAAACATCTTCAAATAAAAACTAGACAGACGCATTCTCATAAACTTGTTTGTGATGTGTGAACTCAGCTAACAGAGGTGGATCTTTCTTTTGATAGAGCAGTTCTGAAAAACACTTTTTGTTGAATCTGCAAGTGGACATTTGGATAGATTTGAAGATTTCGTTGGAAACGGGAATATCTTCATATCAAATCTAGACAGAAGCATTGTCAGAAACGTCTTTGTCATGTTTGCATTCAACTCATAGAGTTGAACATTCCCTTTCAGAGAGCAGCTTTGAAACACTCTTTTTGTAGTATGTGCAAGTGGATATTTGGAGCGCTTTGAGGCCTACGGGGAAAAAGCAAATATCTTCCCATAACCACTAGACAGAAACATTCTCAGAAACTCCTTTATGACGTATGCACTCACCTAACAGAAAAGAACCTTCCTTTTGACAGAGCAGTTTTGATACACTCTTTTTGTAGAATCTGCAAGTGGATATTTGGATAGCTGTGAAGATTTCGTTGGAAACGGGAATATCTTCCTATAAATCTAGACAGAAGCATTCTCAGGAACTGCTCTGTGATGTCTGCATTCAAGTCACAGAGTTGAACATTGCCTTAACTAGAGCAGGTTTGAAACGCTCTTTTTGTAGTATATGGAAGTGGACGTTTCGGACGTTTTGAGGCCCATGGTGATGAAGGGAATATCATCCCCTACAAGCTAGAAAGAAGCATTGTGTGAAACTTGTTTGTGATGTGTGTACTCAACTAACAGAGTTGAACCTTTCTTTTTACAGAGCAGTTTTGAAACACTCTTTTTGTAGAATCTGCGAGGGGATATTTGGATACATTTCAGGATTTCGTTGGAAACGGGAATATCTTCATATAAAATCTCGACAGAAGCATTCTCAGAAACTTCTTTGTGATATCTGCCTTCAAGTCACAGAGTTGAATATTCCCTTTCACACAGTAGGTTTGAAACACTCTTTTTGTAGTATCTGGAAGTGGACATTTGGAGCGCCTTGACACCTACGGTGAAAAGGGAAATATCTTCCCATAAAAACTAGACAGAAGCAATCTCAGAATCTTCTTTGGGATATATGCACGCAGCTAACAGAGTTGAACCTTTCTATTGACAGAGCAGTTTTGAAACAGTCTTTCTGTGGAATCTGCAAGTGGATATTTGGATAGCTTGGAGGATTTCGTTGGAAAAGGGATTACGTATAAAAAGTAGACAGCAGCATCCTCAGAAACTTCTTTGTGATGTGTGCATTCAAGTCACAGAGTTGAACATTCCCTTTCGTACAGCAGTATTGAAACACTCTTTCTGTAGTATCTGGAAGTGAACATTAGGACAGCTTTCAGGTCTATGGTGAGAAAGGAAATATCTTCAAATAAAAACTAGACAGAAGCATTCTCATAAACTTGTTTGTGATGTATGAACTCAGCTAACAGAGGTGGATCTATCTTTTGATAGAGCAGTTCTGAAAAACACTTTTTGTTGAATCTGCAAGTGGACATTTGGATAGTTTTGAAGATTTCGTTGGAAACGGGAATATCTTCATATCAAATCTAGACAGAAGCATTCTCAGAAACGTCTTTGTGATGTTTGCATTCAACCCATAGAGTTGAACATTCCCTTTCAGAGAGCAGCTTTGAAGCACTCTTTTTGTAGTATGTGCAAGGGGATATTTGGAGCGCTCTGAGGCCTAAGGTGAAAAATCAAATATCTTCCCATAACCACTAGACAGAAACATTCTCAGAAACTTCTTTATGACGTATGTACTCAACTAGCAGAGAAGAACTTTCCTTTTGACACAGCTTTTTGGATACACTCTTTTTGTAGTATCTGCATGTGGATATTTGATTAGCTGTGAAGATTTCGTTGGAATCGGGAATATCTTCCTATAAAGTCTGGACAGAAGCATTCTCAGAAACTGCTCTGTGATGTCTGCATTCAGGTCACAGAGTTGAACATTGCCTTTCATAGAGCAGGTTTAAAACACTCTTTTTTTACTATATGGAAGTGGACGTTTCGGACGGTTTGAGGCCCATGGTGATAAAGGAAATATCTTCCCCTAGAAGCAAGAAAGAAGCATTCTGTGAAACTTGTTTGTGATGTGTGTACTCAACTAACAGAGTTGAACCTTTCTTTTTACAGAGCAGTTTTGAAACACTCTTTTTGTAGAATCTGCGAGGGGATATTTGGATAGATTTCAGGATTTCTTTGGAAACGGGAATATCTTCATATAAAATACTCGACAGAAGCATTCTCAGAAACTTCTTTGTGATATCTGCATTCAAGTCAGAGAGTTGAATATTCCCTTTCACAGAGTAGGTTTGAAACACTCTTTTTGTAGTATCTGGAAGTGGACATTTGGAGCGCCTTGACACCTACGGTGAAAAGGGAAATATCTTCCCATAAAAACTAGACAGAAGCAATCTCAGAATCTTCTCTGGGATATATGCACGCAGCTAACAGAGTTGAACCTTTCTATTGACAGAGCAGTTTTGAAACAGTCTTTCTGTGGAATCTGCAAGTGGATATTTGGATAGCTTGGAGGATTTCGTTGGAAACGGGATTACGTACAAAAAGTAGACAGCAGCATCCTCAGAAACTTCTTTGTGATGTGTGCATTCAAGTCACAGAGTTGAACATTCCCTTTCATAGAGCAGTTTTGAAACACTGTTTCTGTAGTATCTGGAAGTGAACATTAGGACAGCTTTCAGGTCTATGGTGAGAAAGGAAATATCTTCAAATAAAAACTAGACAGAAGCATTCTCATAAACTTGTTTGTGATGTGTGAACTCAGCTAACAGACGTGGATCTTTCTTTTGATACAGCAGTTTTGAAAAACACATTTTGTTGAATCTGCAAGTGGACATTTGGATAGATATGAAGATTTCGTTGGAAACGGGAATATATTCATATCAAATCTAGACAGAAGCATTCTCAGAAACGTCTTTGTGATGTTTGCATTCAACTCATAGAGTTGAACATTCCCTTTCAGAGAGCAGCTTTGAAGCACTCTTTTTGTAGCATGTGCAAGTGGACATTTGGAGCGCCCTGAGGCCTACGGGGAAAAAGCAGATATCTTCCCATAACCACTAGACAGAAACATTCTCAGAAACTCCTTTATGATGTATGCACTCACCTAACGGAAAAGAACCTTCCTTTTGACAGAGCAGTTTTGATACACTCTTTTTGTAGAATCTGCAAGTGGATATTTGGATAGCTGTGAAGATTTCGTTGGAAACGGGAATATCTTCCTATAAAATCTAGACAGAAGCATTCTCAGAAACTGCTCTGTGATGTCTGCATTCAAGTCACAGAGTTGAACATTGCCTTTCATAGAGCAGGTTTGAAATGTTCTTTTTGTAGTATATGGAAGTGGACGTTTCAGACGGTTTGAGGCCGATGGTGATAAAGGGAATATCTTCCCCTACAAGCTAGAAAGAAGCATTCTGTGAAACTTGTTTGTGATGTGTGTACTCAAGTAACAGAGTTGAACCTTTCTTTTTACAGAGCAGTTTTGAAACACTCTTTTTGTAGAATCTGCGAGGGGATATTTGTATAGATTTCAGGATTTCGTTGGAAACGGGAATATCTTCATATAAAATCTCGACAGAAGCATTCTCAGAAACTTCATTGTGATATCTGCATTCAAGTCACAGAGTTGAATATTCCCTTTCACAGGGTAGGTTTGAAACACTCTTTTTGTAGTATCTGTAAGTGGACATTTGGAGCGCCTTGACACCTAAAGTGAAAAGGGAAATATCTTCCCATAAAAACTAGACAGAAGCAATCTCAGAATCTTCTTTGGGATATATGCACGCAGCTAACAGAGTTGAACCTTTCTATTGACAGAGCAGTTTTGAAACAGTCTTTCTGTGGAATCTGCAAGTGGATATTTGGATAGCTTGGAGGATTTCTTTGGAAACGGGATTACGTATAAAAAGTAGACAGCAGCATCCTCAGAAACTTCTTTGTGATGTATGCATTCAAGTCCCAGAGTTGAACATTCCCTTTCGTACAGCAGTTTTGAAACACTCTTTCTGTAGTATCTGGAAGTGAACATTAGGACAGATTTCAGGTCTATGGTGAGAAAGGAAATATCTTCAAATAAAAAGTAGACAGAAGCATTCTCATAAACTTGTTTGTGATGTGTGAACTCAGCTAACAGAGGTGGATCTTTCTTTTGATAGAGCAGTTCTGAAAAACACTTTTTGTTGAATCTGCAAGTGGACATTTGGATAGATTTGAAGATTTCGTTGGAAACGGGAATATCTTCATATCAAATCTAGACAGGAAAGCATTCTCAGAAACGTCTTTGTGATGTTTGCATTCAACTCACAGTATTTGAACATTCCCTTTCAGAGAGCAGCTTTGAAGCACTCTTTTTGTAGTATGTGCAAGGGGATATTTGGAGCGCTCTGAGGCCTACGGTGAAAAAGCAAATATCTTCCCATAACCACTAGACAGAAACATTCTCAGAAACTTCTTTATGACGTATGTACTCAACTAGCAGAAAAGAACTTTCCTTTTGACAGAGCTTTTTTGATACACTCTTTTTGTAGTATCTGCAAGTGGATATTTGGATAGCTGTGAAGATTTCTTTGGAATCGGGAATATCTTCCTATAAAGTCTGGACAGAAGCATTCTCAGAAACTGCTCTGTGATGTCTGCATTCAAGTCACAGAGTTGAACATTGCCTTTCATAGAGCAGGTTTCAAACACTCTTTTTTTAGTATATGGAAGTGGACGTTTCGGACGGTTTGAGGCCCATGGTGATAAAGGAAATATCTTCCCCTACAAGCTAGAAAGAAGCATTGTGTGAAACTTGTTTGTGATGTGTGTACTCAACTAACAGAGTTGAACCTTTCTTTTTACAGAGCAGTTTTGAAACACTCTTTTTGTAGAATCTGCAAGGGGATATTTGGATAGATTTCAGGATTTCGTTGGACACGGGAATATCTTCATATAAAATCTCGACAGAAGCATTCTCAGAAACTTGTTTGTGATATGTGCATTCAAGTCACAGAGTTGAATATTCCCTTTCACAGAGTAGGTTTGAAACACTCTTTTTGTAATATCTGGAAGTGGACATTTGGAGCGCCTTGACGCCTACGGTGAAAAGGGAAATATCTTCCCATAAAAACTAGACAGAAGCAATCTCAGAATCTTCTTTGGGATATATGCACGCAGCTAACAGAGTTGAACCTTTCTATTGACAGAGCAGTTTTGAAATAGTCTTTCTGTGGAATCTGCAAGTAGATATTTGGATAGCTTGGAGGATTTCGTTGGAAACGGGATTACGTATAAAAAGTAGACAGCAGCATCCTCAGAAACTTCTTTGTGATGTGTGCATTCAAGTCACAGAGTTGAACATTCCCTTTCGTACAGCAGTTTTGAAACACTCTTTCTGTAGTATCTGGAAGTGAACATTAGGACAGCTTTCAGCTCCATGGTGAGAAAGGAAATATCTTCAAATAAAAACTAGACAGAAGCATTCTCATAAACTTGTTTGTGATGTGTGAACTCAGCTAACAGAGGTGGATCTTTCTTTTGATAGAGCAGTTCTGAATAACACTTTTTGTTGAATCTGCAAGTGGACATTTGGATAGATTTGAAGATTTCGTTGGAAACGGGAATATCTTCATATCAAATCTAGACAGAAACATTCTCAGAAACGTCTTTGTGATGTTTGCATTCAACTCATGGAGTTGAACATTCCCTTTCAGAGAGCAGCTTTGAAGCACTCTTTTTGTAGTATGTGCAAGTGGATATTTGGAGCGCTCTGTGGCCTACGGGGAAAAAGCAAATATCTTCCCATAACCACTAGACAGAAACATTCTCAGAAACTCCTTTATGACGTATGTACTCAACTAACAGAGAAGAACCTTCTTTTTGACAGAGCAGTTTTGATACACTCTTTTTGTAGAATCTCCAAGTGGATATTTGGATAGCTGTGAAGATTTCGTTGGAAACGGGAATATCTTCCTATAAAATCTAGACAGAAGCATTCTCAGAAACTGCTCTGTGATGTCTGCATTCAAGTCACAGAGTTGAACATTGCCTTTCATAGAGCAGGTTTGAAACGCTCTTTTTGTAGTATATAAAAGTGGACGTTTCGGACGGTTTGAGGCCCATGGTCATAAAGGGAATATCTTCCCCTACAAGCTAGAAAGAAGCATTCTGTGAAACTTGTTTGTGATGTGTGTACTCAACTAACAGAGTTGAACCTTTCTTTTTACAGAGCAGTTTTGAAACACTCTTTTTGTAGAATCTGCGAGGGGATATTTGGATAGATTTCAGGATTTCGTTGGAAACGGGAATATCTTTATATAAAATCTCGACAGAAGCATTCTCAGAAACTTCTTTGTGATATGTGCATTCAAGTCACAGAGTTGAATATTCCCTTTCACAGAGTAGGTTTGAAACACTCTTTTTGTAGTATCTGGAAGTGGACATTTGGAGCGCCTTGACACCTACGGTGAAAAGGGAAATATCTTCCCATAAAAACTAGACAGAAAGCAATCTCAGAATCTTCTTTGGGATATATGCACGCAGCTAACAGAGTTGAACCTTTCTATTGACAGAGCAGTTTTGAAACAGTCTTTCTGTGGAATCTGCAAGTGGATATTTGGATAGCTTGGAGGATTTCGTTGGAAACGGGATTAAGTATAAAAAGTAGACAGAGCATCCTCAGAAACTTCTTTGTGATGTGTGCATTCAAGTCACAGAGTTGAACATTCCCTTTCGTACAGCAGTGTTGAAACACTCTTTATGTAGTATCTGGAAGTGAACATTAGGACAGCTTTCAGGTCTATGGTGAGAAAGGAAATATCTTCAAATAAAAACTAGACAGAAGCATTCTCATAAACTTGTTTGTGATGTGTGAACTCAGCTAACAGAGGTGGATCTTTCTTTTGATAGAGCAGTTCTGAAAAACACTTTTTGTTGAATCTGCAAGTGGACATTTGGATAGATTTGAATATTTCGTTGGTAACGGGAATATCTTCATATCAAATCTAGACAGAAGCATTCTCAGAAACGTCTTTGCGATGTTTGCATTCAACTCATAGAGTTGAACATTCCGTTTCAGAGAGCAGCTTTGAGGCAATCTTTTTGTAGTATGTGCAAGTGGATATTTGGAGCGCTCTGAGGCCTACGGTGAAAAAGCAAATATCTTCCCATAACCACTAGACAGAAACATTCTCAGAAACTCCTTTATGACGTATGCACTCACCTAACAGAGAAGAACCTTCCTTTTGACAGAGCAGTTTTGATACACTCTTTTTGTAGAATCTGCAAGTGGATATTTGGATAGCTGTGAAGATTTCATTGGAAACGGGAATATCTTCCTATAAAATCTAAACAGAAGCATTCTCAGAAACTGCTCTGTGATGTCTGCATTCAAGTCACAGAGTTGAACATTGCCTTTCATAGAGCAGTTTTGAAACGCTCTTTTTGTACTATATGGAAGAGGACGTTTCGGACGGTTTGAGGCCCATGGTGATAAAGGGAATATCTTCCCCTACAAGCTAGAAAGAAGCATTCTGTGAAACTTGTTTGTGATGTGTGTACTCAACTAACAGAGTTGAACCTTTCTTTTTACAGAGCAGTTTTGAAACACTCTTCTTGTAGAATCTGCGAGGGGATATTTGGATAGATTTCAGGATTTTGTTGGAAACGGGAATATCTTAATATAAAATCTCGACAGAAGCATTCTCAGAAGCTTCTTTGTGATATGTGCATTCAAGTCACAGAGTTGAATATTCCCTTTCACCGAGTAGGTTTGAAACACTCTTTTTGTAGTATCTGGAAGTGGACATTTGGAGCGCCTTGACGCCTACGGTGAAAAGGGAAATATCTTCCCATAAAAACTAGACAGAAGCAATCTCAGAATCTTCTTTGGGATATATGCACGCAGCTAACAGAGTTGAACCTTTCTATTGACAGAGCAGTTTTGAAACAGTCTTTCTGTGGAATCTGCAAGTGGGATATTTGGATAGCTTGGAGGATTTCGTTGGAAACGGGATTAAGTATAAAAAGTAGACAGCAGCCTCCTCAGAAACTTCTCTGTGATGTGTGCATTCAAGTCACAGAGTTGAACATTCCCTTTCGTACAGCAGTTTTGAAACACTCTTTCTGTAGTATCTGGAAGTGAACATTAGGACAGCTTTCAGGTCTATGGTGAGAAAGGAAATATATTCAAATAAAAACTAGACAGAAGAATTCTCATCAACTTGTTTGTGATGTGTGAACTCAGCTAACACACGTGGATCTTTCTTTTGATAGAGCAGTTCTGAAAAACACTTTGTTGAATCTGCAAGTGGACATTTGGATAGATTTCAAGATTTCGTTGGAAACGGGAATATCTTCATATCAAATCTAGACAGAAGCATCCTCAGAAACGTCTTGTGATGTTTGCATTCAACTCATAGAGTTGAACATTCCGTTTCAGAGAGCAGCTTTGAAGCACTCTTTTTGTAGTATGTGCAAATGGATATTTGGATCGCTGTGAGGCCTAAGGTGAAAAAGCAAATATCTTCCCATAACCACTAGACAGAAACATTCTCAGAAACTCCTTTATGACGTATGCACTCACCTAACAGAGAAGAACCTTCCTTTTGACAGAGCAATTTTGATACACTCTTTTTGTAGAATCTGCAAGTGGATATTTGGATAGCTGTGAAGATTTCGTTGGAAACGGGAATATCTTCCTATAAAATCTAGACAGAAGCATTCTCAGAAACTGCTCTGTGATGTCTGCATTCAAGTCACAGAGTTGAACATTGCCTTTCATAGAGCAGGTTTGAAACGCTCTTTTTGTAGTATATGGAAGTGGACATTTCGGACGGTTTGAGGCCCATGGTGATAAAGGGAATATCTTCCCCTACAAGCTAGAAAGAAGCATTCTGTGAAACTTGTTTGTGATGTGTGTACTCAAGTAACAGAGTTGAACCTTTCTTTTTACAGAGCAGTTTTGAAACACTCTTTTTGTAGAATCTGCGAGGGGATATTTGGATAGATTTCAGGATTTCGTTGGAAACGGGAATATCTTCATACAAAATCTCGACAGAAGCATTCTCAGAAACTTCTTTGTGATATCTGCCTTCAAGTCACAGAGTTGAATATTCCCTTTCTCAGAGTAGGTATGAAACACTCTTTTTGTAGTATCTGGAAGTGGACATTTGGAGCGACTTGACACCTACGGTGAAAAGGGAAATATCTTCCCATAAAAACTAGACAGAAGCAATCTCAGAATCTTCTTTGGGATATATGCACGCAGCTAACAGAGTTGAACCTTTCTATTGACCGAGCAGTTTTGAAACAGTCTTTCTGTGGAATCTGCAAGTGGATATTTTGATAGTTGGAGGATTTCGTTGGAAACGGGATTACGTATAAAAAGTAGACAGCCGCATCCTCAGAAACTTCTTTGTGATGTGTGCATTCAAGTCACAGAGTTGAACATTCCCTTTCGTACAGCAGTTTTGAAACACTCTTTCTGTAGTATCTGGAAGTGAACATTAGGACAGCTTTCAGGTCGATGGTGAGAAAGGAAATATCTTCAAATAAAAACTAAACAGAAGCATTCTCATAAACTTGTTTGTGATGTGTGAACTCAGCTAACAGACGTGGATCTTTCTTTTGATACAGCAGTTTTGAAAAACACTTTTTGTTGAATCTGCAAGTGGACATTTGGATAGATTTGAAGATTTCCGTTGGAAACGGGAATATCTTCATATCAAATCTAGACAGAAGCATTCTCAGAAACGTCTTTGTGATGTTTGCATTCAACTCATAGAGTTGAACATTCCGTTTCAGAGAGCAGCTTTGAAGCACTCTTTTTGTAGTATGTGCAAGGGGATATTTTGAGCGCTCTGAGGCCTAAGGTGAAAAAGCAAATATCTTCCCATAACCACTAGACAGAAACATTCTCAGAAACTCCTTTATGACGTATGTACTCAACTAACAGAGAAGAACCTTCCTTTTGACAGAGCAGTTTTGATACCCTCTTTTTGTAGAATCTGCAAGTGGATATTTGGATAGCTGTGAAGATTTCGTTGGAAACGGGAATATCTTCCTATAAAATCTAGACAGAAGCATTCTCAGAAACTGCTCTGTGATGTCTGCATTCAAGTCACAGAGTTGAACATTGCCTTTCATAGAGCAGGTTTGAAACGCTCTTTTTGTTGTATATGGAAGTGGACGTTTCGGACGGTTTGAGGCCCATGGTGATAAAGGGAATATCTTCCCCTACAAGCTAGAAAGAAGCATTGTGTGAAACTTGTTTGTGATGTGTGTACTCAACTAACAGAGTTGAACCTTTCTTTTTACAGAGCAGTTTTGAAACACTCTTTTTGTAGAATCTGCGAGCGGATATTTGGATAGATTTCAGGATTTCGTTGGAAACGGGAATATCTTCATATAAAATCTCGACAGAAGCATTCTCAGAAACTTCTTTGTGATATCTGCATTCAAGTCACAGAGTTGAATATTCCCTTTCACAGAGTAGGATTGGAACACTCTTTTTGTAGTATCTGGAAGTGGACATTTGGAGCGCCTTGACGCCTACGGTGAAAAGGGAAATATCTTCCCATAAAAACTAGACAGAAGCAATCTCAGAATCTTCTTTGGGATATATGCACGCAGCTAACAGAGTTGAACCTTTCTATTGACAGAGCAGTTTTGAAACAGTCTTTCTGTGGAATCTGCAAGTGGATATTTGGATAGCTTGGAGGTTTTCTTTGGAAACGGGATTACGTATAAAAAGTAGACTGCAGCATCCTCAGAAACTTCTTTGTGATGTGTGCATTCAAGTCACAGAGTTGAACATTCCCTTTCGTACAGCAGTTTTGAAACACTCTTTCTGTAGTATCTGGAAGTGAACATTAGGACAGCTTTCAGGTCTATGGTGAGAAAGGAAATATCATCAAATGAAAACTAGACAGAAGCATTCTCATAAACTTGTTTGTGATGTGTCAACTCAGCTAAGAGAGGTGGATCTTTCTTTTGATAGAGCAGTTCTGAAAAACACTTTTTGTTGAATCTGCAAGTGGACATTTGGATAGATTTGAAGATTTCGTTGGAAACGGGAATATCTTCATATCAAATCTAGACAGAAGCATTCTCGGAAACGTCTTTGTGATGTTTGCATTCAACTCAAGGAGTTGAACATTCACTTTCAGAGAGCAGCTTTGAAGCACTCTTTTTGTAGTATGTGCAAGTGGATATTTGGATCGCTCTGAGGCCTAAGGTGAAAAAGCAAATATCTTCCCATAACCACTAGACAGAAACATTCTCAGAAACTCCTTTATGACGTATGCACTCACCTAACAGAAAAGAACCTTCCTTTTGACAGAGTAGTTTTGATACACTCTTTTTGTAGAATCTGCAAGTGGATATTTGGATAGCTGTGAAGATTTCGTTGGAAACGGGAATATCTTCCTATAAAATCTAGACAGAAGCATTCTCAGAAACTGCTCTGTGATGTCTGCATTCAAGTCACAGAGTTGAACATTGCCTTTCATACAGCAGGTTTGAAACGCTCTTTTTGTAGTATATGGAAGTGGACTTATCGGACGGTTTGAGGCCCATGGTGATAAAGGGAATATCTTCCCCTACAAGCTAGAAAGAAGCATTCTGTGAAACTTGTTTGTGATGTGTGTACTCAACTAACAGAGTTGAACCTTTCTTTTTACAGAGCAGTTTTGAAACACTCTTTTTGTAGAATCTGTGAGGGGATATTTGGATAGATTTCAGGATTTTGTTGGAAACGGGAATATCTTCATATAAAATCTCGACAGAAGCATTCTCAGAACCTTCTTTGTGATATCTGCATTCAAGTCACAGAGTTGAATATTCCCTTTCACTGAGTAGGTTTGAAACACTCTTTTTGTAGTATCTGGAAGTAGACATTTGGAGCGCCTTGACGCCTACGGTGAAAAGGGAAATATCTTCTCATAAAAAGTAGACAGAAGAAATCTCAGAATCTTCTTTGGGACATATGCACGCAGCTAACAGAGTTGAACCTTTCTATTGACAGAGCAGTTTTGAAACAGTCTTTCTGTGGAATCTGCAAGTGGATATTTGGTTAAATTGGAGGATTTCGTTGGAAACGGGATTACGTATAAAAATAGACAGCAGCATCCTCAGAAACTTCTTTGTGATGTGTGCATTCAAGTCACAGAGTTGAACATTCCCTTTCGTACAGCAGTTTTGAAACACTCTTTCTGTAGTATCTGGAAGTGAACATTAGGCCAGCTTTCAGGTCTATGGTGAGAAAGGAAATATCTTCAAATAAAAACTAGACAGAAGCATTCTCATAAACTTGTTTGTGATGTGTGAACTCAGCTAACAGAGGTGGATCTTTCTTTTGATAGAGCAGTTTTGAAAAACACTTTTTGTTGAATCTGCAAGTGGACATTTGGATAGATATGAAGATTTCGTTGGAAACGGGAATATCTTCATATCAAATCTAGACAGAAAGCATTCTCAGAAACGTCTTTGTGATGTTTGCATTCAACTCATAGAGTTGAACATTCCGTTTCAAAGAGCAGCTTTGAGGCACTCTTTTTGTAGTATGTGCAAGTGGATATTTGGAGCGCTCTGAGGCCTACGGTGAAAAAGCAAATATCTTCCCATAACCACTAGACAGAAACATTCTCAGAAACTCCTTTATGACGTATGCACTCACCTAACAGAGAAGAACCTTCCTTTTGACAGAGCAGTTTTGATACACTCTTTTTGTAGAATCTGCAAGTGGATATTTGGATAGCTGGGAAGATTTCGTTGGAAACGGGAATATCTTCCTATAAAATCTAGACAGAAGCATTCTCAGCAAACTGCTCTGTGATGTCTGCATTCAAGTCACAGAGTTGAACATTGCCTTTCATAGAGCAGGTTTGAAACGCTCTTTTTGTAGTATATGTAAGTAGACGTTTCGGACGGTTTGAGGCCCATGGTGATAAAGGGAATATCTTCCCCTACAAGCTAGAAAGAAGCATTCTGTGAAACTTGTTTGTGATGTGTGTACTCAACTAACAGAGTTGAACCTTTCTTTTTACAGAGCAGTTTTGAAACACTCTTTTTGTAGAATCTGCGAGGGGATATTTGGATAGATTTCAGGATTTCGATGGAAACGGGAATATCTTCATATAAAATCTCGACAGAAGCATTCTCAGAAACTTCTTTGTGATATCTGCATTCAAGTCACAGAGTTGAATATTCCCTTTCACAGAGTAGGTTTGAAACACTCTTTTTGTAGTATCTGGAAGTGGACATTTGGAGCACCTTGACACCTATGGTGAAAAGGGAAATATCTTCCGATAAAAACTAGACAGAAGCAATCTCAGAATCTTCTTTGGGATATATGCACGCAGCTAACAGAGTTGAACCTTTCTATTGACAGAGCAGTTTTGAAACAGTCTTTCTGTGGAATCTGCAAGTGGATATTTGGATAGCTTGGAGGATTTCGTTGGTAACGGGATTACGTATAAAAAGTAGACAGCAGCATCCTCAGCAAACTTCTTTGTGATGTGTGCATTCAAGTCACAGTAGTTGAACATTCCCTTTCGTACAGCAGTTTTGAAACACTCTTTCTGTAGTATCTGGAAGTGAACATTAGGACAGCTTTCAGGTCTATGGTGAGAAAGGAAATATCTTCAAATAAAAACTAGACAGAAGCATTCTGATAAACTTGTTTGTGAAGTGTGAACTCAGCTAACAGAGGTGGATCTTTCTTTTGATAGAGCAGTTCTGAAAAACACTTTTTGTTGAATCTGCAAGTGGACATTTGGATAGATTTGAAGATTTCGTTGGAAACGGGAATATCTTCATATCAAATACTAGACAGAAGCATTCTCAGAAACGTCTTTGTGATGTTTGCATTCAACTCATAGAGTTGAACATTCCCTTTCAGAGAGCAGCTTTGAAGCACTCTTTTTGTAGTATGTGCAAGTGGACATTTGGAGCGCTCTGAGGCCTACGGTGAAAAAGCAAATATCTTCCCATAACCACTAGACAGAAACATTCTCAGAAACTCCTTTATGACGTATGCACTCACCTAACAGAGAAGAACCTTCCTTTTGACAGAGGAGTTTTGATACACTCTTTTTGTAGAATCTGCAAGTGGATATTTGGATAGCTGTGAAGATTTCGTTGGAAACGGGAATATCTTCCTATAAAATCTAGACAGAAGCATTCTCAGAAACTGCTCTGTGATGTCTGCATTCAAGTCACAGAGTTGAACATTGCCTTTCATAGAGCAGGTTTGAAACGCTCTTTTTTTAGTATATGGAAGTGGACTTATCGGACGGTTTGAGGCCCATGGTGATAAAGGGAATATCTTCCCCTACAAGCTAGAAAGAAGCATTCTGTGAAACTTGTTTGTGATGTGTGTACTCAACTAACAGAGTTGAACCTTTCTTTTTAAAGAGCAGTTTTGAAACACTCTTTTTGTAGAATCTGCGAGGGGATATTTGGATAGATTTCAGGATTTCGTTGGAAACGGGAATATCTTCTTATAAAATCTCGACAGAAGCATTCTCAGAAACTTCTTTGTGATATCTGCATTACAGTCACAGAGTTGAATATTCCCTTTCACAGAGGAGGTTTGAAACACTCTTTTTATAGTATCTGGAATTGGACATTGGAGCGCCTTGACGCCTACGGTGAAAAGGGAAATATCTTCCCATAAAAACTAGACAGAAGCAATCTCAGAATCTTCTTTGGGATATATGCACGCAGCTAACAGAGTTGAACCTTTCTATTGACAGAGCAGTTTTGAAACAGTCTTTCTGTGGAATCTGCAAGTGGATATTTGGATAGCTTGGAGGATTTCTTTGGAAACGGGATTACGTATAAAAAGTAGACAGCACCATCCTCAGAAACTTCTTTGTGATGTGTGCATTCAAGTCACAGAGTTGAACATCCCGTTTCGTACAGCAGTTTTGAAACACTCTTTCTGTAGTATCTGGAAGTAAGCATTAGGATAAGCATTAGGACAGCTTTCAGGTCTATGGTGAGAAAGGAAATATCTTCAAATAAAAACTAGACAGAAGCATTCTCATAAACTTGTTTGTGATGTGTGAACTCAGCTAACAGAGGTGGATACTTCTTTTGATAGAGCAGTTCTGAAAAACACTTTTAGTTGAATCTGCAAGTGGACATTTGGATAGATTTGAAGATTTCGTTGGAAACGGGAATATCTTCATATCAAATCTAGACAGAAGCATTCTCAGAAACGTCTTTGTGATGTTTGCATTCAACTCATAGAGTTGAACATTCCGTTTCAGAGAGCAGCTTTGAAGCACTCTTTTTGTAGTATGTGCAAGTGGATATTTGGATCGCTGTGAGGCCTAAGGTGAAAAAGCATATATCTTCCCATAACCACTAGACAGAAACATTCTCAGAAACTGCTTTATGACGTATGCACTCACCTAACAGAGAAGAACCTTCCTTTTGACAGAGCAGCTTTGATACACTCTTTTTGTAGAATCTGCAAGTGGATATTTGGATAGCTGTGAAGATTTCGTTGGAAACGGGAATATCTTCCTATAAAATCTAGACAGAAGCATTCTCAGAAACTGCTCTGTGATGTCTGCATTCAAGTCACAGAGTTGAACATTGCCTTTCATAGAGCAGGTTTGAAACGCTCTTTTTGTAGAATATGGAACTGGATGTTTCGGACGGTTGGAGGCCCATGGTGATAAAGGGAATATCTTCCCCTACAAGCTAGAAAGAAGCATTGTGTGAAACTTCTTTGTGATGTGTGTACTCAACTAACAGAGTTGAACCTTTCTTTTTACAGAGCAGTTTTGAAACACTCTTTTTGTAGAATCTGCAAGGGGATATTTGGATACATTTCAGGATTTCGTTGGAAACGGGAATATCTTCATATAAAATCTCGACAGAAGCATTCTCAGAAACTTCTTTGTGATATCTGCATTCAAGTCACAGAGTTGAATATTCCCTTTCACAGAGTAGGTTTGAAACACTCTTTTTGTAGTATCTGGAAGTGGACATTTGGAGCGTCTTGACACCTACGGTGAAAAGGGAAATATCTTCCCATAAAAACTAGACAGAAGCAATCTCAGCAATCTTCTTTGGGATATATGTACGCAGCTAATAGAGTTGAACCTTTCTATTGACAGAGCAGTTTTGAAACAGTCTTTCTGTGGAATCTGCAAGTGGATATTTGGATAGCTTGGAGGATTTCGTTGGAAACGGGATTACGTATAAAAAGTAGACAGCAGCATCCTCAGAAACTTCTTTGTGATGTGTGCATTCAAGTCACAGAGTTCAACATTCCCTTTCGTACAGCAGTTTTGAAACACTCTTTCTGTAGTATCTGGAAGTGAACATTAGGACAGCTTTCAGGTCTATGGTGAGAAAGGAAATATCTTCAAATAAAAACTATACAGAAGCATTCTCATAAACTTGTTTGTGATGTGTGAACTCAGCTAACAGAGGTGGATCTTTCTTTTGATAGTGCAGTTCTGAAAAACACTTTTTGTTGAATCTGCAAGTGGACATTTGGATAGATTTGAAGATTTCGTTGGAAACGGGAATATCTTCATATCAAATCTAGACAGAAGCATTCTCAGAAACGTCTTTGCGATGTTTGCATTCAACTCATAGAGTTGAACATTCCGTTTCAGAGAGCAGCTTTGAAGCACTCTTTTTGTAGTATGTGCAAGGGGATATTTGGAGCGCTCTGAGGCCTACGGTGAAAAAGCAAATATCTTCCCATAATCACTAGACAGAAACATTCTCAGAAACTCCTTTATGACGTATGCACTCATCTAACAGAGAAGAACCTTCCTTTTGACAGAGCAGTTTTGATACACTCTTTTTGTAGAATCTGCAAGTGGATATTTGGATAGCTGTGAAGATTTCGTTGGAAACGGGAATATCTTCCTATAAAATCTAGACAGAAGCATTCTCAGAAACTGCTCTGTGATGTCTGCATTCAAGTCACAGAGTTGAACATTGCCTTTCATAGAGGAGGTTTCAAACACTCTTTTTGTAGTATATGGAAGTGGACGTTTCGGACGGTTTGAGGCCCATGGTGATAAAGGGAATATCTTCCCCTACAAGCTAGAAAGAAGCATTCTGTGAAACTTGTTTGTGCTGTGTGTACTCAACTAACAGAGTTGAACCTTTCTTTTTACAGAGCAGTTTTGAAACACTCTTTTTGTAGAATCTGCGAGGGGATATTTGGATAGATTTCAGGATTTCGTTGGAAACGGGAATATCTTCATATAAAATCTCGACAGAAGCATTCTCAGAAACTTCTTTGTGATATGTGCATTCAAGTCACAGAGTTGAATATTCCCTTTCAGAGAGTAGGTTTGAAACACTCCTTTTGTAGTATCTGGAAGTGGACATTTGGAGCGCCTTGACGCCTACGGTGAAAAGGGAAATATCTTCCCATAAAAACTAGACAGAAGCAATCTCAGAATCTTCTTTGGGATATATGCACGCAGCTAACAGAGTTGAACCTTTCTATTGACAGAGCAGTTTTGAAATAGTCTTTCTGTGGAATCTGCAAGTAGATATTTGGATAGCTTGGAGGATTTCGTTGGAATCGGGATTACGTATAAAAAGTAGACAGCAGCATCCTCAGCAAACTTCTTTGTGATGTGTGCATTCAAGTCACAGAGTTGAACATTCCCTTTCGTACAGCAGTTTTGAAACACTCTTTCTGTAGTAACTGGAAGTGAACACTAGGACAGCTTTCAGGTCTATGGTGAGAAAGGAAATATCTTCAAATAAAAACTAGACAGAAGCATTCTCATAAACTTGTTTGTGATGTGTGAACTCAGCTAACAGAGGTGGATCTTTCTTTTGATAGAGCAGTTCTGAAAAACACTTTTTGATGAATCTGCAAGTGGACATTTGGATAGATTTGAAGATTTCGTTGGAAACGGGAATATCTTCATATCAAATCTAGACAGAAGCATTCTCAGAAACGTCTTTGTGATGCTTGCATTCAACTCATAGTAGTTGAACATTCCCTTCCAGAGAGCAGCTTTGAAGCACTCTTTTTATAGTATGTGCAAGGGGATATTTGGAGCGCTCTGAGGCCTAAGGTGAAAAAGCAAATATCTTCCCATAACCACTAGACAGAAACATTCTCAGAAACTCCTTTATGACGTATGCACTCAACTAACAGAAAAGAACCTTCCTTTTGACAGAGCAGTTTTGATACACTCTTTTTGTAGAATCTGCAAGTGGATATTTGGATAGCTGTGAAGATTTCGTTGGAAACGGGAATATCTTCCTATAAAATCTAGACAGAAGCATTCTCAGAAACTGCTCTGTGATGTCTGCATTCAAGTCACAGAGTTGAACATTGCCTTTCATAGAGCAGGTTTGAAACGCTCTTTTTGTAGTATATGGAAGTAGACGTTTCGGACGGTTTGAGGCCCATGGTTATAAAGGGAATATCTTCCCCTACAAGCTAGAAAGAAGCATTCCGTGAAACTTGTTTGTGATGTGTGTACTCAACTAACAGAGTTGAACCTTCCTTTTCACAGAGCAGTTTTGAAACACTCTTTTTGTAGAATCTGCGAGGGGATATTTGGATAGATTTCAGGATTTCGTTGGAAACGGGAATATCTTCATATAAAATCTCGACAGAAGCATTCTCAGAAACTTCTTTGTGATATGTGCATTCAAGTCACAGAGTTGAATATTCCCTTTCACAGAGTAGGTTTGAAACACTCTTTTTGTAGTATCTGGAAGTGGACATTTGGAGCGCCTTGACACCTACGGTGAAAAGTGAAATATCTTCCCATAAAAACTAGACAGAAGCAATCTCAGAATCTTCTTTGAGATATATGCACGCAGCTAATAGAGTTGAACCTTTCTATTGACAGAGCAGTTTTGAAACAGTCTTTCTGTGGAATCTGCAAGTGGATATTTGGATAGCTTGGAGGATTTCGTTGGAAACGGGATTACGTATAAAAAGTAGACAGCAGCATCCTCAGAAACTTCCTTGTGATGTGTGCATTCAAGTCACAGAGTTGAACATTCCCTTTCATACAGCAGTTTTGAAACACTCTTTCTGTAGTATCTGGAAGTGAACATTAGGACAGCTTTCAGGTCTATGGTGAGAAAGGAAATATCTTCAAATAAAAACTAGACAGAAAGCATTCTCATAAACTTGTTTGTGATGTGTGAACTCAGCTAACAGAGGTGGATCTTTCTTTTGATAGAGCAGTTCTGAAAAACACTTTTTGTTGAATCTGCAAGTGGAGATTTGGATAGATTTGAAGATTTCGTTGGAAACGGGAATATCTTCATATCAAATCTAGACAGAAGCATTCTCAGAAACGTCTTTGTGATGTTTGCATTCAACTCATAGAGTTGAACATTCCGTTTCAGAGAGCAGCTTTGAAGCACTCTTTTTGTAGTATGTGCAAGTGGATATTTGGAGAGCTCTGACGCCTACGGTGAAAAAGCAAATATCTTCCCATAACCACTAGACAGAAACATTCTCAGAAACTCCTTTATGACGTATGCACTCACCTAACAGAGAAGAACCTTCCTTTTGACAGAGCAGGTTTGATACACTCTTTTTGTAGAATCTGCAAGTGGATATTTGGATAGCTGTGAAGATTTTGTTGGAAACGGGAATATCTTCCTATAAAATCTAGACAGAAGCATTCTCAGAAACTGCTCTGTGATGTCTGCATTCAAGTCACAGAGTTGAACATTGCCTTTCATAGAGCAGGTTTGAAACGCTCTTTTTGTAGTATATGGAAGTGGATGTTTCAGACGGTTGGAGGCCCATGGTGATAAAGGGAATATCTTCCCCTACGAGCTAGAAAGAAGCATTCTGTGAAACTTGTTTGTGATGTGTGTACTCAACTAACAGAGTTGAACCTTTCTTTTCACAGAGCAGTTTTGAAACACTCTTTTTGTAGAATCTGCGAGGGGATATTTGGATAGATTTCAGCATTTCGTTGGAAACGGGAATATCTTCATATAAAATCTCGACAGAAGCATTCTCAGAAACTTCTTTGTGATATGTGCATTCAAGTCACAGAGTTGAATATTCCCTTTCACAGAGTAGGTTTGAAACACTCTTTTTGTAGTGTCTGGAAGTGGACATTTGGAGCGCCTTGACGCCTACGGTGAAAAGGGAAATATCTTCCCATAAAAACTAGACAGAAGCAATCTCAGAATCTTCTTTGGGATATATGCACGCAGCTAACAGAGTTTAACCTTTCTATTGACAGAGCAGTTTTGAAACAGTGTTTCTGTGGAATCTGCAAGTGGATATTTGGATAGATTGGAGGATTTCGTTGGAAACGGGATTACATATAAAAAGTAGACATCAGCATCCTCAGAAACTTCTTTGTGATGTGTGCATTCAAGTCACAGAGTTGAACATTCCCTTTCGTACAGCAGTTTTGAAACACTCTTTCTGTATTATCTGGGAGTGAACATTAGGACAGCTTTCAGGTCTATGGTGAGAAAGGAAATATCTTCAAATAAAAACTAGACAGAAAGCATTCTCATAAACTTGTTTGTGATGTGTGAACTCAGCTAACAGAGGTGGATCTTTCTTTTGATAGAGCAGTTCTGAAAAACACTTTTTTTTGAATCTGCAAGTGGACATTTGGATAGATTTGAAGATTTCTTTGGAAACGGGAATATCTTCATATCAAATCTAGACAGAAGCATTCTCAGAAACGTCTTTGTGATGTTTGCATTCAACTCATAGAGTTGAACATTCCGTTTCAGAGAGCAGCTTTGAAGCACTCTTTTTGTAGTATGTGCAAGTGGATATTTGGAGCGCTCTGAGGCCTACGGGGAAAAAGCAAATATCTTCCCATAAACACTAGACTGAAACATTCTCAGAAACTCCTTTATGACGTATGCACTCACCTAACAGAGAAGAACCTTCCTTTTGACAGAGCAGTTTTGATACACTCTTTTTGTAGAATCTGCAAGTGCATATTTGGATAGCTGTGAAGATTTCGTTGGAAACGGGAATATCTTCCTATAAAATCTAGACAGAAGCATTCTCAGAAACTGCTCTGTGATGTCTGCATTCAAGTCACAGAGTTGAACATTGCCTTTCATGGAGCAGGTTTGAAACGGTCTTTTTGTAGTATATGGAAGTGGACGATTCGGACGGTTTGAGTCCCATGGTGATAAAGGGAATATCTTCCCCTACAAGCTAGAAAGAAGCATTCTGTGAAACTTGTTTGTGATGTGTGTACTCAACTAACAGAGTTGAACCTTTCTTTTTACAGAGCAGTTTTGAAACACTCTTTTTGTAGAATCTGCGAGGGGATATTTGGATAGATTTCAGGATTTCCTTGGAAACGGGAATATCTTCATATAAAATCTCGACAGAAGCATTCTCATAAACTTCTTTGTGATGTGTGAACTCAGCTAACCGAGGTGGATCTTTCTTTTGATAGAGCAGTTCTGAAAAAAACTTTTTGTTGAATCTGCAAGTGGACATTTGGATAGATTTGAAGATTTCGTTGGGAACGGGAATATCTTCATATCAAATCTAGACAGAAGCAATCTCAGAATCTTCCTTGGGATATATGCACGCAGTTAACAGAGTTGAACCTTTCTATTGACAGAGCAGTTTTGAAACAGTCTTTCCGTGGAATCTGCAAGTGGATATTTGGTTAGCTTGGAGGATTTCGTTGGAAACGGGATTACGTATAAAAATTAGACAGCAGCATCCTCAGAAACTTCTTTGTGATGTGTGCATTCAAGTCACAGATTTGAACATTTCCTTTCGTACAGCAGCTTTGAAACACTCTTTCTGTAGTATCTGGAAGTGAACATTAGGACAGCTTTCAGGTCTATGGTGAGAAAGGAAATATCTTCAAATAAAAACTAGACAGAATCATTCTCATAAACTTGTTTGTGATGTGTGAACTCAGCTAACAGAGGTGGATCTTTCTTTTGATAGAGCAGTTCTGAAAAACACTTTTTGTTGAATCTGCAAGTGGACATTTGGATAGATTTGAAGATTTCGTTGGAAACGGGAATATCTTCATATCAAATCTAGACAGAAAGCATTCTCAGAAACGTCTTTGCGATGTTTGCATTCAACTCATAGAGTTGAACATTCCCTTTGAGTGAGTAGCTTTGAAGCACTCTTTTTGTAGCATGTGCAAGTGGACATTTGGAGCGCCCTGAGGCCTACGGGGAAAAAGCAAATATCTTCCCATAACCACTAGACAGAAACATTCTCAGAAACTCCTTTATGACCTATGCACTCACCTAAAAGAGAAGAACCTTCCTTTTGACAGAGCAGTTTTGATACACTCTTTTTGTAGAATCTGCAAGTGCATATTTGGATAGCTGTGAAGATTTCGTTGGAAACGGGAATATCTTCCTATAAAATCTAGACAGAAGCATTCTCAGAAACTGCTCTGTGATGTCTGCATTCAAGTCACAGAGTTGAACATTGCCTTTCATTTAGCAGGTTTGAAACGCTCTTTTTGTAGTATATGGAAGTGGACGTTTCGGACGGTTTGAGGCCCATGGTGATAAAGGCAATATCTTCCCCTACAAGCTAGAAAGAAGCATTCTGTGAAACTTGTTTGTGATGTGTGTACTCAACTAACAGAGTTGAACCTTTCTTTTTACAGAGCAGTTTTGAAACACTCTTTTTGTAGAATCTGCGAGGGGATATTTGGATACATTTCAGCATTTCGTTGGAAACGGGAATATCTTCATACAAAATCTCGACAGAAGCATTCTCAGAAACTTCCTTGTGATATGTGCATTCAAGTCACAGAGTTGAATATTCCCTTTCACAGAGTAGGTTTGGAACACTCTTTTTGTAGTATCTGGAAGTGGACATTTGGAGCGCCTTGACGCCCACGGTGAAAAGGGAAATATCTTCCCATAAAAACTAGACAGAAGCAATCTCAGAATCTTCTTTGGGATATATGCACGCAGCTAACAGAGTTGAACTTTTCTATTGACAGAGCAGTTTTGAAACAGTCTTTCTGTGGAATCTGCAAGTGGATATTTGGATAGCTTGGAGGATTTCGTTTGAAACGGGATTACGTATAAAAAGTAGACAGCAGCATCCTCAGAAACTTCTTTGTGATGTGTGCATTCAAGTCACAGAGTTGAACATTCCCTTTCGTACAGCAGTTTTGAAACACTCTTTCTGTAGTATCTGAAGTGAACAATAGGACAGCTTTCAGGTCTATGGTGAGAAAGGAAATATCTTCAAATAAAAACTAGACAGAAGCATTCTGATAAACTTGTTTTTGAAGTGTGAACTCAGCTAACAGAGGTGGATCTTTCTTTTGATAGAGCAGTTCTGAAAAACACTTTGTTGAATCTGCAAGTGGACATTTGGATAGATTTGAAGATTTCGTTGGAAACGGGAATATCTTCATATCAAATCTAGACAGAAGCATTCTCAGAAACGTCTTTGTGATGATTGCATTTAACTCATAGAGTTGAACATTCCGTTTCAGAGAGCAGCTTTGAAACACTCTTTTTGTAGTATGTGCAAGTGGATATTTGGAGCGCTCTGAGGCCTAAGGTGAAAAAGCAAATATCTTCCCATAACCACTAGACAGAAACATTCTCAGAAACTTATTTATGACGTATGTACTCAAGTAGCAGAGAAGAACTTTCCTTTTGACAGAGAACTTTGGATACACACTTTTTGTAGTATCTGCAAGTGGATATTTGGATAGGTGTGAAGATTTCGTTGGAAACGGGAATATCTTCATATCAAATCTGACAGAAGCATTCTCAGAAACTGCTCTGTGATGTCTGCATTCAAGTCACAGAGTTGAACATTGCTTTTCATAGAGCAGGTTTGAAACGCTCTTTTTGTAGTATATGGAAGTAGACGTTTCGGACGGTTTGAGGCCCATGGTGATAAACGGAATATCTTCCCCTACAAGCTAGAAAGAAGCATTCTGTGAAACTTGTTTGTGATGTGTGTACTCAACTAACAGAGTTGAACCTTTCTTTTTACAGAGCAGTTTTGAAACACTCTTTTTGTAGAATCTGCGAGGGGATATTTGGATTGATTTCAGGATTTCGTTGGAAACGGGAATATCTTCATATAAAATCTCGACAGAAGCATTCTCAGAAACTTCTTTGTGATATCTGCATTCAAGTCACAGAGTTGAATATTCCCTTTCACAGAGTAGGTTTGAAACACTCTTTTTGTAGTATCTGGAAGTGGACATTTGGAGAGCCTTGACGCCTACGGTGAAAAGGGAAATATCTTCCCATAAAAACTAGACAGAAGCAATCTCAGAATCTTCTTTGTGATATATGCACGCAGCTAACAGAGTTGAACCTTTCTATTGACAGAGCAGTTTTGAAACAGTCTTTCTGTGGAATCTGCAAGTGGATATTTGGATAGCTTGGAGGATTTCGTTGGAAACGGGATTACGTATAAAAATTAGACAGCAGCATCCTCAGAAACTTCTTTGTGATGTGTGCATTCAAGTCACAGTGTTGAACATTCCCTTTCGTACAGCAGTTTTGAAACACTCTTTCTGTAGTATCTGGAAGTGAACATTAAGACAGCTTTCAGGTCTATGGTGAGAAAGGAAATATCTTCAAATAAAAACTAGACAGAAGCATTCTCATAAACTTGTTTGTGATGTGTGAACTCAGCTAACAGAGGTGGATCTTTCTTTTGATAGAGCAGTTCTGAAAAACACTTTTTGTTGAATCTGCAAGTGGACATTTGAATAGATTTGAAGATTTCGTTGGAAACGGGAATATCTTCATATCAAGTCTAGACAGAAGCATTCTCAGAAACGTCTTTGTGATGTTGGCATTCAAATCATAGAGTTGAACATTCCGTTTCAGAGAGCAGCTTTGAGGCACTCTTTTTGTAGTATGTGCAAGTGGATATTTGGAGCGCTCTGAGGCCTACGGTGAAAAAGCAAATATCTTCCCATAACCACTAGACAGAAACATTCTCAGAAACTTCTTTATGACGTATGTACTCAACTAACAGAGAAGAACCTTCCTTTTGACAGAGCAGTTTTGATACACTCTTTTTGGAGAATCTGCAAGTGGATATTTGGATATCTGTGAAGAATTCCTTGGAAACGCAAATATCTTCCTATAAAATCTAAACAAAAAGCATTCTCAGAAACTGCTCTGTGATGTCTGCATTCAAGTCACAGAGTTGAACATTGCCTTTCATAGAGCAGGTTTGAAAGGCTCTTTTTGTAGTATATGGAAGTGGACGTTTCGGACGGTTGGAGGCCCATGGTGATAAAGGGAATATCTTCCCCTACAAGCTAGAAAGAAGCATTCTGTGAAACTTGTTTGTGATGTGTGTACTCAACTAACAGAGTTGAACCTTTCTTTTTACAGAGCAGTTTTGAAACACTCTTTTTGTATAATCTGCGAGGGGATATTTGGATAGATTTCAGGATTTCGTTGGAAACGGGAATATCTTCATATAAAATCTCGACAGAAGCATTCTCAGAAACTTCCTTGTGATATGTGCATTCAAGTCACAGAGTTGAATATTCCCTTTCACAGAGTAGGTTTGAAACACTCTTTTTGTAGTATCTGGAAGTGGACATTTGGAGCGCCTTGAAACCTACGGTGAAAAGGGAAATATCTTCCCATAAAAACTAGACAGAAGCAATCTCAGAATCTTCTTTGGGATATATGCACGCAACTAACAGAGTTGAACCTTTCTATTGACAGAGCAGTTTTGAAACAGTCTTTCTGTGGAATCTGCAAGTGGATATTTGGATAGCTTGCAGGATTTCTTTGGAAATGGGATTACGTATAAAAAGTAGACAGCAACATCCTCAGAAACTTCTTTGTGATGTGTGCATTCAACTCACAGAGTTGAACATTCCCTTTCGTACAGCAGTTTTGAAACACTCTTTCTGTAGTAACTGGAAGTGAACATTAGGACAGCTTTCAGGTCTATGGTGAGAAAGGAAATATCTTCAAATAAAAACTAGACAGAAGCATTCTCATAAACTTGTTTGTGATGTGTGAACTCAGCTAACAGAGGTGGATCTTTCTTTTGATACAGCAGTTTTGAAAAACACTTTTTGTTGAATCCGCAAGTGGACATTTGGATAGATTTGAAGATTTCGTTGGAAACGGGAATATCTTCATATCAAATCTAGACAGAAGCATTCTCAGAAACGTCTTTGTGATGTTTGCATTCAACTCATAGAGTTGAACATTCCGTTTCAGAGAGCAGCTTTGAGGCACTCTTTTTGTAGTATGTGCAAGTGGATATTTGGACCGCTCTGAGGCCTACGGTGAAAAAGCAAATATCTTCCCATAACCACTAGACAGAAACATTCTCAGAAACTCCTTTATGACGTGTGCACTCACCTAACAGAGAAGAACCTTCCTTTTGACAGAGCAGTTTTGATACACTCTTTTTGTAGAATTTGCAAGTGGATATTTGGATAGCTGTGAAGATTTCGTTGGAAACGGGAATATCTTCCTATAAAATCTAGACAGAAGCATTCTCAGAAACTGCTCTGTGATGTCTGCATTCAAGTCACAGAGTTGAACATTGCCTTTCATAGAGCAGGTTTGAAACGCTCTTTTTGTAGTATATGTAAGTAGACGTTTCGGACGGTTTGAGGCCCATGGTGATAAAGGGAATATCTTCCCCTACAAGCTAGAAAGAAGCATTCTGTGAAACTTGTTTGTGATGTGTGTACTCAACTAACAGAGTTGAACCTTTCTTTTTACAAAGCAGTTTTGAAACACTCTTTTTGTAGAATCTGCGAGGGGATATTTGGATAGATTTCAGGATTTCGTTGGAAACGGGAATATCTTCATATAAAATCTCGACAGAAGCATTCTCAGAAACTTCTTTGTGATATGCGCATTCAAGTCACAGTGTTGAATATTCCCTTTCACAGAGTAGGTTTGAAACACTCTTTTTGTAGTATCTGGAAGTGGACATTTGGAGCGCCTTGACACCTATGATGAAAAGGGAAATATCTTCCCATAAAAACTAGACAGAAGCAATCTCAGAATCTTCTTTGGGATATATGCACGCAGCTAACAGAGTTGAACCTTTCTATTGACAGAGCAGTTTTGAAACAGTCTTTCTGTGGAATCTGCAAGTGGATATTTGGATAGCTTGGAGGATTTCGTTGGAAACGGGATTACATATACAAAGTAGACAGCAGCATCCTCAGAAACATCCTTGTGATGTGTGCATTCAAGTCACAGAGTTGAACATTCCCTTTCGTACAGCAGTTTTGAAACACTCTTTCTGTAGTATCTGGAAGTGAACTTTAGCACAGCTTTCAGGTCTATGGTGAGAAAGGAAATATCTTCAAATAAAAACTAGACAGAAGCATTCTCATAAACTTGTTTGTGATGTGTGAACTCAGCTAACAGAGGTGGATCTTTCTTTTGATAGAGCAGTTCTGAAAAACACTTTTTGTTGAATCTGCAAGTGGACATTTGGATAGATTTGAAGATTTCGTTGGAAATGGGAATATCTTCATATCAAATCTAGACAGAAGCATTCTCAGAAACGTCTTTGTGATGTTTGCATTCAACTCATAGAGTTTAACATTCCGTTTCAGAGAGCAGCTTTGAAGCACTCTTTTTGTAGTATGTGCAAGTGGATATTTGGAGCGCTCTGAGGCCTACGGTGAAAAAGCAAATATCTTCCCATAACCACTAGACAGAAACATTCTCAGAAACTCCTTTATGACGTATGTACTCAACTAACAGAGAAGAACCTTCCTTTTGACAGAGCAGATTTGATACACTCTTTTTGTAGAATCTGCAAGTGGATATTTGGATAGCTGTGAAGATTTCGTTGGAAACGGGAATATCTTCCTATAAAATCTAGACAGAAGCATTCTCAGAAACTGCTCTGTGATGTCTGCATTCAAGTCACAGATTTGAACATTGCCTTTCATAGAGCAGGTTTGAAACGCTCTTTTTGTAGTATATGGAAGTGGACGTTTCGGACGGTTTGAGGCCCATGGTGATAAAGGGAATATCTTCCCCTACAAGCTAGAAAGAAGCATTCTGTGAAACTTGTTTGTGATGTGTGTACGCAACTAACAGAGTTGAACCTTTCTTTTTACAGAGCAGTTTTGAAACACTCTTTTTGTAGAATCTGCGAGGGGATATTTGGATACATTTCAGCATTTCGTTGGAAACGGGAATATCTTCATATAAAATCTCGACAGAAGCATTCTCAGAAACTTCTTTGTGATATCTGCCTTCAAGTCACAGAGTTGAATATTCCCTTTCACAGAGTAGGTTTGAAACACTCTTTTTGTAGTATCTGGAAGTGGACATTTGGAGCGCCTTGACGCCTACGGTGAAAAGGGAAATATCTTCCCATAAAAAATAGACAGAAAGCAATCTCAGAATCTTCTTTGGGATATATGCACGCAGCTAACAGAGTTGAACCTTTCTATTGACAGAGCAGTTTTGAAACAGTCTTTCTGTGGAATCTGCAAGTGGATATTTGGATAGCTTGGAGGATTTCGTTGGAAACGGGATTACGTATCAAAAGTAGACAGCAGCATCCTCAGAAACTTCTTTGTGATGTGTGCATTCAAGTCACAGAGTTGAACATTCCCTTTCGTACAGCAGTTTTGAAACACTCTTTCTGTAGTATCTGGAAGTGAACATTAGGACAGCTTTCAGGCCTATGGTGAGAAAGGAAATATCTTCAAATAAAAACTAGACAGAAGCATTCTCATAAACTTGTTTGTGATGTGTGTACTCAGCTAACAGACGTGGATCTTTCTTTTGATAGAGCAGTTCTGAAAAACACTTTTTGTTGAATCTGCAAGTGGACATTTGGATAGATTTGAAGATTTCGTTGGAAACGGGAATATCTTCATATCAAATCTAGACAGAAGCATTCTCAGAAACGCCTTTGTGATGTTTGCATTCAACTCATAGAGTTGAACATTCCCTTTCTGAGAGGAGCTTTGAAGCACTCTTTTTGTAGTATGTGCAAGTGGACATTTGGACCGCTTTGAGGCCTACGGGGAAAAAGCAAATATCTTCCCATAACCACTAGACAGGAACATTCTCAGAAACTTCTTTATGACGTATGTACTCAACTAGCAGAGAAGAACTTTCCTTTTGACAGAGCATTTCTGATACACTCTTTTTGTACTATCTGCAAGTGGATATTTGGATAGCTGTGAAGATTTCGTTGGAAACGGGAATATCTTCCTATAAAGTCTGGACAGAAGCATTCTCAGAAACTGCTCTGTGATGTCTGCATTCAAGTCACAGAGTTGAACATTGCCGTTCATAGAGCAGGTTTGAAACACTCTTTTTGTAGTATATGGAAGTGGACGTTTCGGACGGTTTGAGGCCCATGGTGATAAAGGGAATATCTTCCCATACAAGCTAGAAAGAAGCATTCTGTGAAACTTGTTTGTGATGTGTGTACTCAACTAACAGAGTTGAACCTTTCTTTTTACAGAGCAGTTTTGAAACACTCTTTTTGTAGAATCTGCGAGGGGATATTTGGATAGATTTCAGGATTTCGTTGGAAACGGGAATGTCTTCATATAAAATCTCGACAGAAGCATTCTCAGAAGCTTCTTTGTGATATGTGCATTCAAGTCACAGAGTTCAATATTCCCTTTCACAGAGTAGGTTTGAAACACTCTTTTTGTAGTATCTGGAAGTGGACATTTGGAGCGCCTTGACGCCTACGGTGAAAAGGGTAATATCTTCTCATAAAAAGTAGACAGAAGCAATCTCAGAATCTTCTTTGGGATATATGCACGCAGCTAACAGAGTTGAACCTTTCTATTGACAGAGCAGTTTTGTAACAGTCTTTCTGTGGAATCTGCAAGTGGATATTTGGATAGCTTGGAGGATTACGTTGGAAACGGGATTACGTATAAAAAGTAGACAGCAGCATCCTCAGAAACATCCTTGTGATGTGTGCATTCAAGTCACAGAGTTGAACATTCCCTTTCGTACAGCAGTTTTCAAACACTCTTTCTGTAGTATCTGGAAGTGAACTTTAGGACAGCTTTCAGGTCTATAGTGAGAAAGGATATATCTTCAAATAAAAACTAGACAGAAGCATTCTCATAAACTTGTTTGTGATGTGTGAACTCAGGTAACAGACGTGGATCTTTCTTTTGATACAGCAGTTTTGAAAAACACTTTTTGTTGAATCTGCAAGTGGACATTTGGATAGATTTGAAGATTTCGTTGGAAACGGGAATATCTTCATATCAAATCTAGACAGAAGCATTCTCAGAAACGTCTTTGTGATGTTTCCATTCAACTCATAGAGTTGAACATTCCCTTTCAGAGAGCAGCTTTGAAGCACTCTTTTTGTAGTATGTGCAAGTGGATATTTGGAGCGCTCTGAGGCCTACGGTGAAAAAGCAAATATCTTCCCATAACCACTAGACAGAAACATTCTCAGAAACTCCTTTATGACGTATGCACTCACCTAACAGAGGAGAACCTTCCTTTCGACAGAGCAGTTTTGATACACTCTTTTTGTAGAATCTGCAAGTGGATATTGGGATAGCTGTGAAGATTTCGTTGGAAACGGGAATATCTTCCTATAAAATCTAGACAGAAGCATTCTCAGAAACAGCTCTGTGATGTCTGCATTCAAGTCACAGAGTTGAACATTGCCTTTCATAGAGCAGGTTTGAAACGCTCTTTTTGTAGTATATGGAAGTGGACGTTTCGGACGGTTTGAGGCCCATGGTGATAAAGGGAATATCTTCCCCTACAAGCTAGAAAGAAGCATTCTGTGAAAGTTGTTTGTGATGTGTGTACTCAACTAACAGAGTTGAACCTTTCTTTTTACAGAGCAGTTTTGAAACACTCTTTTTGTAGAATCTGCGAGGGGATATTTGGATAGATTTCAGGATTTCATTGGAAACGGGAATATCTTCATATAAAATCTCGACAGAAGCATTCTCAGAAACTTCTTTGTGATATCTGCTTTCAAGTCACAGAGTTGAATATTCCCTTTCACAGAGTAGGTTTGAAACACTCTTTCTGTAGTATCTGGAAGTGGACATTTGGAGCGCCTTGACACCTACGGTGAAAAGGGAAATATCTTCCCATAAAAACTAGACAGAAGCAATCTCAGAATCTTCTTTGGGATATATGCACGCAGCTAACGGAGTTGAACATTTCTATTGACAGAGCAGTTTTGAAACAGTCGTTCTGTGGAATCTGCAAGTGGATATTTGGATAGCTTGGAGGATTTCGTTGGAAACGGGATTACGTATAAAAAGTAGACAGCAGCATCCTCAGAAACTTCTTTGTGATGTGTGCATTCAAGTCACAGAGTTGAACATTCCCTTTCGTACAGCAGTTTTGACACACTCTTTCTGTAGCATCTGGAAGTGAACATTAGGACAGCTTTCAGGTCTATGGTGAGAAAGGAAATATCTTCAAATAAAAACTAGACAGAAGCATTCTCATAAACTTGTTTGTGATGTGTGAACTCAGCTAACAGAGGTGGATCTTTCTTTTGATAGAGCAGTTCTGAAAAACACTTTTTGTTGAATCTGCAAGTGGACATTAGGATAGATTTGAAGATTTCGTTGGAAACGGGAATATCTTCATATCAAATCTAGACAGAAGCATTCTCAGAAACGTCTTTGTCATGTTTGCATTCAACTCATAGAGTTGAACATTCCCTTTCAGAGAGCAGCTTTGAAACACTCTTTTTGTAGTATGTGCAAGTGGATATTTGGAGCGCTCTGAGGCCTACGGTGAAAAAGCAAATATCTTCCCATAACCACGAGACAGAAACATTCTCAGAAACTCCTTTATGACGTATGTACTCAACTAACAGAGAAGAACCTTCCTTTTGACAGAGCAGTTTTGATACACTCTTTTTGTAGAATCTGCAAGTGGATATTTGGATAGCTGTGAAGATTTCGTTGGAAACGGGAATACCTTCCTATAAAATCTAGACAGAAGCATTCTCAGAAACTGCTCTGTGATGTCTGCATTCAAGTCACAGAGTTGAACATTGCCTTTCATAGAGCAGGTTTGAAACGCTCTTTTTGTAATATATGGAAGTGGACTTTTCGGACGGTTTGAGGCCCATGGTGATAAAGGGAGTATCTTCCCCTACAAGCTAGAAAGAAGCATTCTGTGAAACTTGTTTGTGATGTGTGTACTCAACTAACAGAGTTGAACCTTCCTTTTTACAGAGCAGTTTTGAAACACTCTTTTTGTAGAATCTGCGAGGGGATATTTGGATAGATTTCAGGATTTCGTTGGAAACGGGAATATCTTCATATAGAAATCTCGACAGAAGCATTCTCAGAAACTTCTTTGTGATATGTGCATTCAAGTCACAGAGATGAATATTCCCTTTCACAGAGTAGGTTTGAAACACTCTTTTTGTACTATCTGGAAGTGGACATTTGGAGCGCCTTGACGCCTACGGTGAAAAGGGAAATATCTTCCCATAAAAACTAGACAGAAGCAATCTCAGAATCTTCTTTGGGATATATGCACGCAGCTAACAGAGTTGAACCTTTCTATTGACAGAGCAGTTTTGAAACAGTCTTTCTGTGGAATCTGCAAATGGATATTTGGATAGCTTGGAGGATTTCGTTGGAAACGGGATTACGTATAAAAAGTAGACAGCAGCATCCTCAGGAACCTTCTTTGTGATGTGTGCATTCAAGTCACAGAGTTGAACATTCCCTTTCGTACAGCAGTTTTGAAACACTCTTTCTGTAGTAACTGGAAGTGAACATTAGGACAGCTTTCAGGTCTATGGTGAGAAAGGAAATATCTTCAAATAAAAACTAGACAGAAGCATTCTCATAAACTTGTTTGTGATGTGTGAACTCAGCTAACAGAGGTGGATCTTTCTTTTGATAGAGCAGTTCTGAAAAACACTTTTTGTTGAATCTGCAAGTGGACATTTGGATAGATTTGAAGATTTCGGTGGAAACGGGAATATCTTCATATCAAATCTAGACAGAAGCATTCTTGGAAACGTCTTTGTGATGTTTGCATTCAACTCATAGAGTTGAACATTCCCTTTCAGAGAGCAGCTTTGAAGCACTCTTTTTGTAGTATGTGCAAGTGGATATTTGGAGCGCTCTGAGGCCTACGGTGAAAAAGCAAATATCTTCCCATAACCACTACACAGAAACATTCTCAGAAACTCCTTTATGACGTATGCACTCACCTAACAGAGAAGAACCTTCCTTTTGACAGAGCAGTTTTGATACACTCTTTTTGTAGAATCTACAAGTGGATATTTGGATAGCTGTGAAGATTTCGTTGGAAACGGGAATATCTTCCTATAAAATCTAGACAGAAGCATTCTCAGAAACTGCTCTGTGATGTCTGCATTCAAGTCACAGAGCTGAACATTGCCTTTCATAGAGCAGGTTTGAAACGCTCTTTTTGTAGTATATGTAAGTGGACGTTTCGGACGGTTTGAGGCCCATGGTGATAAAGGGAATATCTTCCCCTACAAGCTAGAAAGAAGCATTCTGTGAAACTTGTTTGTGATGTGTGTACTCAACTAACAGAGTTGAACCTTTCTTTTTACAGAGCAGTTTTGAAACACTCTTTTTGTAGAATCTGCGAGGGGATATTTGGATAGATTTCATGATTTCGTTTGAAACGGGAATATCTTCATATAAAATCTCGACAGAAGCATTCTCAGAAACTTCTTTGTGATATGTGCATTCAAGTCACAGAGTTGAATATTCCCTTTCACAGAGTAGGTTTGAAACACTCTTTTTGTAGTATCTGGAAGTGGACATTTGGAGCGCCTTGACACCTACGGTGAAAAGGGAAATATCTTCCCATAAAACTAGACAGAAGCAATCTCAGAATCTTCTTTGGGATATATGCACGCAGGTAACAGAGTTGAACCTTTCTATTGACAGAGCAGTTTTGAAACAGTCTTTCTGTGGAATCTGCAAGTGGATATTTGGATAGCTTGGAGGATTTCGTTGGAAACGGGATTACGTATAAAAAGTAGACAGCAGCATCCTCAGAAACTTCTTTGTGATGTGTGCATTCAAGTCACAGAGTTGAACATTCCCTTTCGTACAGCAGTTTTGAAACACTCTTTCTGTAGTATCTGGAAGTGAACATTACGACAGCTTTCAGGTCTATGGTGAGAAAGGAAATATCTTCAAATAAAAACTAGACAGAAGCATTCTCATAAACTTGTTTGTGATGTGTGAACTCAGCTAACAGAGGTGGATCTTTCTTTTGATAGAGCAGTTCTGAAAAACACTTTTTGTTGAATCTGCAAGTGGACATTTGGATAGATTTCAAGATTTCGTTGGAAACGGGAATATCTTCATATCAAATCTAGACGGAAGCATTCTCAGAAACGTCTTTGTGATGTTTGCATTCAACTCATAGAGTTGAACATTCCGTTTCAGAGAGCAGCTTTGAGGCACTCTTTTTGTACTATGTGCAAGTGGATATTTGGAGCGCTCTGAGGCCTACGGTGAAAAAGCAAATATCTTCCCATAACCACTAGACAGAAACATTCTCAGAAACTCCTTTATGACGTATGTACTCAACTAACAGAGAAGAACCTTCCTTTTGACAGAGCAGTTTTGATACACTCTTTTTGTAGAATCTGCAAGTGGATATTTGGATAGCTGTGAAGATTTCGTTGGAAACGGGAATACATTCCTATAAAATCTAGACAGAAGCATTCTCAGAAACTGCTCTGTGATGTCTGCATTCAAGTCACAGAGTTGAACATTGCCTTTCCTAGAGCAGGTTTGAAACGCTCTTTTTGTAGTATATGGAAGTGGACGTTTCGGACGGTTTGAGGCCCATGGTGATAAAGGGAATATCTTCCCCTACAAGCTAGAAAGAAAGCATTCTGTGAAACTTGTTTGTGATGTGTGTACTCAACTAATAGAGTTGAACCTTTCTTTTTACAGAGCAGTTTTGAAACACTCTTTTTGTAGAATCTGCGAGGGGATATTTGGATAGATTTCAGGATTTCGTTGGAAACGGGAATATCTTCATAGAAAATCTCGACAGAAGCATTCTCAGAAGCTTCTTTGTGATATGTGCATTCAAGTCACAGAGTTGAATATTCCCTTTCACAGAGTAGGTTTGAAACACTCTTTTTGTAGTATCTGGAAGTGGACATTTGGAGCGCCTTGACGCCTACGGTGAAAAGGGAAATATCTTCTCATAAAAAGTAGACACAAGCAATCTCAGAATCTTCTTTGGGATATATGCACGCAGCTAACAGAGTTGAACCTTTCTATTGACAGAGCAGTTTTGAAACAGTCTTTCTGTGGAATCTGCAAGTGGATATTTGGATAGCTTGGAGGATTTCGTTGGAAACGGGATTACGTATAAAAAGTACACAGCAGCATCCTCAGAAACTTCTTTGTGATGTGTGCATTCAAGTCACAGAATTGAACATTCCCTTTCGTACAGCAGTTTTGAAACACTCTTTCTGTAGTATCTGGAAGTGAACTTTAGGAGAGCTTTCAGGTCTATAGTGAGAAAGGAAATATCTTCAAATAAAAACTAGACAGAAGCATTCTCCTAAACTTGTTTGTGATGTGTGAACTCAGCTAACAGACGTGGATCTTTCTTTTGATACAGCAGTTTTGAAAAACACTTTTTGTTGAATCTGCAAGTGGACATTTGGATAGATTTGAAGATTTCGTTGGAAACGGGAATATCTTCATATCAAATCTAGACAGAAGCATTCTCAGAAACGTCTTTGTGATGTTTACATTCAACTCATAGAGTTGAACATTCCCTTTCAGAGAGCAGCTTTGAAGCACTCTTTTTGTAGCATGTGCAAGTGGACATTTGGAGCGCTCTGAGGTCTACGGGGAAAAAGCAAATATCTTCCCATAACCACTAGACAGAAACATTCTCAGAAACTCCTTTATGACGTATGCACTCACCTAACAGAAAAGAACCTTCCTTTTGACAGAGCAGTTTTGATACACTCTTTTTGTAGAATCTGCAAGTGGATATTTGGATAGCTGTGAAGATTTCGTTGGAAACGGGAATATCTTCCTATAAAATCTCGACAGAAGCATTCTCAGAAACTGCTCTGTGATGTCTGCATTCAACTCACAGAGTTGAACATTGCCTTTCATAGAGCAGGTTTGAAACGCTCTTTTTGTAGTATATGGAAGTGGACGTTTCGGACGGTTTGAGGCCCATGGTGATAAAGGGAATATCTTCCCCTACAAGCTAGAAAGAAAGCATTCTGTGAAACTTGTTTGTGATGTGTGTACTCAACTAACAGAGTTGAACCTTTCTTTTTACAGAGCAGTTTTGAAACACTCTTTTTGTAGAATCTGCGAGGGGATATTTGGATACATTTCAGCATTTCGTTGGAAACGGGAATATCTTCATATAAAATCTCGACAGAAGCATTCTCAGAAACTTCTTTGTGATATCTGCATTCAAGTCACAGAGTTGAATATTCCCTTTCACAGAGTAGGTTTGAAACACTCTTTTTGTAGTATCTGGAAGTGGACATTTGGAGCGCCTTGACACCTACGGTGAAAAGGCAAATATCTTCCCATAAAAACTAGACAGAAGCAATCTCAGAATCTTCTTTGGGATATATGCACGCAGCTAACAGAGTTGAACCTTTCTACTGACAGAGCAGTTCTGAAACAGTCTTTCTGTGGAATATGCAAGTGGATATTTGGATAGCTTGGAGGATTTCGTTGGAAACGGGATTACGTATAAAAAGTAGACAGCAGCATCCTCAGAAACTTCTTTGTGATGTGTGCATTCAAGTCACAGAGTTGAACATTCCCTTTCGTACAACAGTTTTGAAACACTCTTTCTGTAGTATCTGGAAGTGAACATTAGGACAGCTTTCAGGTCTATGGTGAGAAAGGAAATATCTTCAAATAAAAACTAGACAGAAGCATTCTCATAAACTTGTTTGTGATGTGTGAACTCAGCTAACAGAGGTGGATCTTTCTTTTGATAGAGCAGTTCTGAAAAACACTTTTTGTTGAATCTGCAAGTGGACATTTGGATAGATTAGAAGATTTCGTTGGAAACGGGAATATCTTCATATCAAATCTAGACAGAAGCATTCTCAGAAACGTCTTTGCGATGTTTGCATTCAACTCATAGAGTTGAACATTCCGTTTCAGAGAGCAGCTTTGAGGCACTCTTTTTGTAGTATGTGCAAGTGGATATTTGGAGCCCTCTGAGGCCTACGGTGAAAAAGCAAATATCTTCCCATAACCACTAGACAGAAACATTCTCAGAAACTCCTTTGTGACGTATGCACTCACCTAACAGAAAAGAACCTTCCTTTTCACAGAGCAGTTTTGATACACTCTTTTTGTAGAATCTGCAAGTGGATATTTGGATAGCTGTGAAGATTTCGTTGGAAACGGGAATATCTTCCTATAAAATCTAGACAGAAGCATTCTCAGAAACTGCTCTGTGATGTCTGCATTCAAGTCACAGAGTTGAACATTGCCTTTCCTAGAGCAGGGTTGAAATGCTCTTTTTGTAGTATATGGAAGTGGACGTTTCGGACGGTTTGAGGCCCATGGTGATAAAGGGAATATCTTCCCCTACAAGCTAGAAAGAAGCATTCTGTGAAACTTGTTTGTGATGTGTGTACTCAACTAACAGAGTTGAACCTTTCTTTTTACAGAGCAGTTTTGAAACACTCTTTTTGTAGAATCTGCGAGGGGATATTTGGATACATTTCAGGATTTCGTTGGAAACGGGAATATCTTCATATAAAATCCCGACAGAAGCATTCTCAGAAGCTTCTTTGTGATATGTGCATTCAAGTCACAGAGTTGAATATTCCCTTTCACAGAGTAGGTTTGAAACACTCTTTTTGTAGTATCTGGAAGTGGACATTTGGAGCGCCTTGACGCCTACGTTGAAAAGGGAAATATCTTCTCATAAAAAGTAGACAGCAGCAATCTCAGAATCTTCTTTGGGATATATGCACGCAGCTAACAGAGTTGAACCTTTCTATTGACAGAGCAGTTTTGAAACAGTCTTTCTGTGGAATCTGCAAGTGGATATTTGGATAGCTTGGACGATTTCGTTGGAAACGGGATTACGTATAAAAAGTAGACAGCAGCCTCCTCAGAAACTTCTTTGTGATGTGTGCATTCAAGTCACAGAGTTGAACATTCCCTTTCGTACAGCAGTTTTGAAACACTCTTTCTGTAGTATCTGGAAGTGAACATTAGGACAGCTTTCAGGTCTATGGTGAGAAAGGAAATATCTTCAAATAAAAACTAGACAGAAGCATTCTCATAAACTTGTTTGTGATGTGTGAACTCAGCTAACAGACGTGGATCTTTCTTTTGATACAGCAGTTTTGAAAAACACTTTTTGATGAATCTGCAAGTGGACATTTGGATAGATTTGAAGATTTCGTTGGAAACGGGAATATCTTCATATCAAATCTAGACAGAAGCATTCTCAGAAACGTCTTTGGGATGTTTGCATTCAACTCATACAGTTGAACATTCCGTTTCAGAGAGCAGCTTTGAAGCACTCTTTTTGTAGTATGTGCAAGTGGATATTTGGAGCGCTCTGAGGCCTACGGTGAAAAAGCAAATATCTTCCCATAACCACTAGACAGAAACATTCTCAGAAACTCCTTTATCACGTATGCACTCACCCAACAGAGAAGAACCTTCCTTTTGACAGAGCAGTTTTGATACACTCTTTTTGTAGAATCTGCAAGTGGATATTTGGATAGCTGTGAAGATTTCGTTGGAAACGGGAATATCTTCCTATAAAATCTAGACAGAAGCATTCTCAGAAACTGCTCTGTGATGTCTGCATTCAAGTCACAGAGTTGAACATTGCCTTTCCTAGAGCAGGTTTGAAACGCTCTTTTTGTAGTATATGGAAGTGGACGTTTCGGACGGTTTGAGGCCCATGGTGATAAAGGGAATATCTTACCCTACAAGCTAGAAAGAAGCATTCTGTGAAACTTGTTTGTGATGTGTGTACTCAACTAACAGAGTTCAACCTTTCTTTTTACAGAGCAGTTTTGAAACACTCTTTCTGTAGAATCTGCGAGGGGATATTTGGATAGATTTCAGGATTTCGTTGGAAACGGGAATATCTTCATATAAAATCTCGACAGAAGCATTCTCAGAAACTTCTTTGTGATATGTGCATTCAAGTCACAGAGTTGAATATTCCCTTTCACAGAGTAGGTTTGAAACACTCCTTTTGTAGTATCTGGAAGTGGACATTTGGAGCGCCTTGACGCCTACGGTGAAAAGGGAAATATCTTCCCATAAAAACTAGACAGAAGCAATCTCAGAATCTTCTTTGTGATATATGCACCCAGCTAACAGAGTTGAACCTTTCTATTGACAGAGCAGTTTTGAAACAGTCTTTCTGTGGAATCTGCAAGTGGATATTTGGATAGCTTGGAGGATTTCGTTGGAAACGGGATTACGTATAAAAAGTAGACAGCAGCATCCTCAGAAACTTCTTTGTGATGTGTGCATTCAAGTCACAGAGTTGAACATTCCCTTTCGTACAGCAGTGTTGAAACACTCTTTCTGTAGTATCTGGAAGTGAACATTAGGACAGCTTTCAGGTCTATGGTGAGAAAGGAAATATCTTCAAATAAAAACTAGACAGAAGCATTCTGATAAACTTGTTTGTGAAGTGTGAACTCAGCTAACAGAGGTGGATCTTTCTTTTGATAGAGCAGTTCTGAAAAACACTTTGTTGAATCTGCAAGTGGACATTTGGATAGATTTGAAGATTTCGTTGGAAACGGGAATATCTTCATATCAAATCTAGACAGAAGCATTCTCAGAAACGTCTTTGTGATGTTTGCATTCAACTCATAGAGTTGAACATTCCCTTTCAGAGAGCAGCTTTGAAGCACTCTTTTTGTAGTATGTGCAAGTGGATATTTGGAGAACTCTGAGGCCTACGGTGAAAAAGCAAATATCTTCCCATAACCACTAGACAGAAACATTCTCAGAAACTCCTTTATGACGTATGTACTCAACTAACAGAGAAGAACCTTCTTTTTGACTGAGCAGTTTTGATACACTCTTTTTGTAGAATCTGCAAGTGCATATTTGGATAGCTGTGAAGATTTCGTTGGAAACGGGAATATCTTCCTATAAAATCTAGACAGAAGCATTCTCAGAAACTGCTCTGTGATGTCTGCATTCAAGTCACAGAGTTGAATATTCCCTTTCACAGAGTAGGTTTGAAACACTCTTTTTGTAGTATCTGGAAGTGGACATTTGGAGCGCCTTGACGCCTACGGTGAAAAGGGAAATATCTTCCCATAAAAACTAGACAGAAGCATTCTGTGAAACTTGTTTGTGATGTGTGTACTCAACTAACAGAGTTGAACCTTTCTTTTTACAGAGCAGTTTTGAAACACTCTTTTCGTAGAATCTGCGAGGGGATATTTGGATAGATTTCAGGATTTCGTTGGAAACGGGAATATCTTCATATAAAATCTCGACAGAAGCATTCTCTGAAACTTCTTTGTGATATGTGCATTCAAGTCACAGAGTTGAATATTCCCTTTCACAGAGTAGGTTTGAAACACTCTTTTTGTAGTATCTGGAAGTGGACATTTGGAGCGCCTTGACGCCTACGGTGAAAAGGGAAATATCTTCTCATAAAAAGTAGACAGAAGCAATCTCAGAATCTTCTTTGGTATATATGCACGCAGCTAACAGAGTTGAACCTTTCTATTGACAGAGCAGTTTTGAAACAGTCTTTCTGTGGAATCTGCAAGTGGATATTTGGATAGCTTGGAGGATTTCGTTGGAAACGGGATTACGTATAAAAAGTAGACAGCAGCATCCTCAGAAACTTCTTTGTGATGTGTGCATTCAAGTCACAGAGTTGAACATTCCCTTTCGTACAGCAGTTTTGAAACACTCTTTCTGTAGTATCTGGAAGTGAACATTATGACAGCTTTCAGGTCTATGGTGAGAAAGGAAATATCTTCAAATAAAAACTAGACAGAAGCATTCTCATAAACTTGTTTGTGATGTCTGAACTCAGCTAACAGGTGGATCTTTCTTTTGATAGAGCAGTTCTGAAAAACACTTTTTGTTGAATCTGCAAGTGGACATTTGGATAGATTTGAAGATTTCGTTGGAAACGGGAATATCTTCATATCAAATCTAGACAGAAGCATTCCCAGAAACGTCTTTGTGATGTTTGCATTCAACTCATAGAGTTGAACATTCCCTTTCAGAGAGCAGCTTTGAAGCACTCTTTTTGTAGTATGTGCAAGGGGATATTTGGAGTGCTCTGAGGCCTACGGTGAAAAAGCAAATATCTTCCCATAACCACTAGACAGAAACATTCTCAGAAACTCCTTTATGACGTATGCACTCACCTAACAGAGAAGAACCTTCCTTTTGACAGTGCAGTTTTGATACACTCTTTTTGTAGAATCTGCAAGTGGATATTTGGATAGCTGTGAAGATTTCGTTGGAAACGGGAATATCTTCCTATAAAATCTAGACAGAAGCATTCTCAGAAACTGCTCTGTGATGTCTGCATTCAACTCACAGAGTTGAACATTGCCTTTCATAGAGCAGGTTTGAAACACTCTTTTTGTAGTATATGGAAGTGGACGTTTCGGACGGTTTGAGGCCCATGGTGATAAAGGGAATATCTTCCCCTACAAGCTAGAAAGAAGCATTCTGTGAAACTTGTTTGTTATGTGTGTACTCAACTAACAGAGTTGAACCTTTCTTTTCACAGAGCAGTTTTGAAACACTCTTTTTGTAGAATCTGCGAGGGGATATTTGGATAGATTTCAGGATTTCGTTGGAAACGGGAATATCTTCATATAAAATCTCGACAGAAGCATTCTCAGAAACGTCTTTGTGATATGTATATTCAAGTCACAGAGTTGAATATTCCCTTTCACAGAGTAGGTTTGAAACACTCTTTTTGTAGTATCTGGAAGGGGACATTTGGAGCACCTTGACGCCTACGGTGAAAAGGGAAATATCTTCCCATAAAAACTAGACAGAAGCAATCTCAGAATCTTCTTTGGGATATATGCACGCAGCTAACAGAGTTGAACCTTTCTATTGACAGAGCAGTTTTGAAACAGTCTTTCTGTGGAATCTGCAAGTGGATATTTGGATAGATTAGAGGATTTCGTTGGAAACGGGATTACGTATAAAAAGTAGACAGCAGCATCCTCAGAAACTTCTTTGTGATGTGTGCATTCAAGTCACAGAGTTGAACATTCCCTTTCGTACAGCAGTTTTGAAACACTCTTTCTGTAGTATCTGGAAGTGAGCATTAGGAGAGCTTTCAGGTCTATGGTGAGAAAGGATATATCTTCAAATAAAAACTAGACAGAAGTATTCTGATAAACTTGTTTGTGAAGTGTGAACTCAGCTAACAGAGGTGGATCTTTCTTTCGAAACAGCAGTTTCGAAAAACACTTTTTGTTGAATCTGCAAGTGGACATTTGAATAGATTTGAAGATTTCGTTGGAAATGGGAATATCTTCATATCAAATCTAGACAGAAAGCATTCTCAGAAACGTCTTTGTCATGTTTGCATTCAACTCATAGAGTTGAACATTCCCTTTCAGAGAGCAGCTTTGAAACACTCTTTTTGTAGTATGTGCAAGTGGATATTTGGAGCGCTCTGAGGCCTAAGGTGAAAAAGCAAATATCTTCCCATAACCACTAGACAGAAACATTCTCAGAAACTCCTTTAAACGTATGCACTCACCTAACAGAGAAGAACCTTCCTTTTGACAGAGCAGTTTTGATACACTCTTTTTGTAGAATCTGCAAGTGGATATTTGGATAGCTGTGAAGATTTCGTTGGAAACGGGAATATCTTCCTATAAAATCTAGACAGAAGCATTCTCAGAAACTGCTCTGTGATGTCTGCATTCAAGTCACAGAAGTTGAACATTGCCTTTCATAGAGCAGGTTTGAAACGCTCTTTTTGTAGTATATGGAAGTGGACGTTTCGGACGGTTGGAGGCCCACGGTGATAAAGGGAATATCTTCCCCTACAAGCTAGAAAGAAGCATTCTGTGAAACTTGTTTGTGATGTGTGTACTCAACTAATAGAGTTGAACCTTTCTTTTTACAGAGCAGTTTTGAAACACTCTTTTTGTAGAATCTGCGAGGGGATATTTGGATAGATTTCAGGATTTCGTTGGAAACGGGAATATCTTCATATAAAATACTCGACAGAAGCATTAGCAGAAACTTCTTTGTGATATGTGCATTCAAGTCACAGAGTTGAATATTCCCTTTCACAGAGTAGGTTTGAAACACTCTTTTTTTAGTATCTGGAAGTGGACATTTGGAGCGCCTTGACGCCTATGGTGAAAAGGGAAATATCTTCCCATAAAAACTAGACAGAAGCAATCTCAGAATCTTCTTTGTGATATATGCACGCAGCTAACAGAGTTTAACCTTTCTATTGACAGAGCAGTTTTGAAACAGTCTTTCTGTGGAATCTGCAAGTGGATATTTGGATAGATTGGAGGATTTCGTTGGAAACGGGATTACGTATAAAAAGTAGACAGCAGCATCCTCAGAATCTTCCTTGTGACGTGTGCATTCAAGTCACAGAGTTGAACATTCCCTTTCGTACAGCAGTTTTGAAAAACTCTTTCTGTAGTATCTGGAAGTGAACTTTAGGAGAGCTTTCAGGTCTATAGTGAGAAAGGATATATCTTCAAATAAAAACTAGACAGAAGAATTCTGATAAACTTGTTTGTGAAGTGTGAACTCAGCTAACACAGGTGGATCTTTCTTTTGATACAGCAGTTTTGAAAAACACTTTGTTGAATCTGCAAGTGGACATTTGGATAGATTTGAAGATTTCGTTGGAAACGGGAATATCTTCATATCAAATCTAGACAGAAGCATTCTCAGAAACGTCTTTGTGATGTTTGCATTCAACTCATAGAGTTGAACATTCCCTTTCAGAGAGCAGCTTTGAAGCACTCTTTTTGTAGTATGTTCAAGTGGACATTTGGAGCGCTTTGAGGCATACGGGGAAAAAGCAAATATCTTCCCATAACCACTAGACAGAAACATTCTCAGAAACTCCTTTATGACGTATGCACTCACCTAACAGAGAAGAACCTTCCTTTTGACAGAGCAGTTTTGATACACTCTTTTTGTAGAATCTGCAAGTGGATATTTGGATAGCTGTGAAGATTTCGTTGGAAATGGGAATATCTTCCTATAAAATCTAGACAGAAGCATTCTCAGAAACTGCTCTGTGATGTCTGCATTCAAGTCACAGAGTTGAACATTGCCTTTCATAGAGCAGGTTTGAAACGCTCTTTTTGTAATATATGGCAGTGGACGTTTCGGACGGTTTGAGGACCATGGTGATAAAGGGAATATCTTCCCCTACAAGCTAGAAAGAAGCATTCTGTGAAACTTGTTTGTGATGTGTGTACTCAACTAACAGAGTTGTACCTTTCTTTTCACAGAGCAGTTTTGAAACACTCTTTTTGTAGAATCTGCGAGGGGATATTTGGATAGATTTCAGGATTTCGTTGGAAACGGGAATATCTTCATATAAAATCTCGACAGAAGCATTCTCAGAAACTTCTTTGTGATATCTGCATTCCAGTCACAGAGTTGAATATTCCCTTTCACAGAGTAGGTTTGAAACACTCTTTTTGCAGTATCTGGAAGTGGACATTTGGAGCGCCTTGACGCCTACGGTGAAAAGGGAAATATCTTCCCATAAAAACTAGACAGAAGCAATCTCCGAATCTTCTTTGGGATATATGCACGCAGCTAACAGAGTTGAACCTTTCTATTGACAGAGCAGTTTTGAAACAGTCTTTCTGTGGAATCTGCAAGTGGATATTTGGATAGCTTGGAGGATTTCGTTGGAAAAGGGATTATGTATAAAAAGTAGACAGCAGCATCCTCAGAAACTTCTTTGTGATGTGTGCATTCAAGTCACAGAGTTGAACATTCCCTTTCGTACAGCAGTTTTGAAACATTCTTTCTGTAGTATCTGGAAGTGAACATTAGGACAGCTTTCAGGTCTATGGTGAGAAAGGAAATATCTTCAAATAAAAACTAGACAGAAGCATTCTCATAAACTTGTTTGTGATGTCTGAACTCAGCTAACAGACGTGGATCTTTCTTTTGATACAGCAGTTTTGAAAAACACTTTTTGTTGAATCTGCAAGTGGACATTTGGATAGATTTGAAGATTTCGTTGGAAACGGGAATATCTTCATATGAAATCTAGACAGAAGCATTCTCAGAAACGTCTTTGTGATGTTTGCATTCAACTCATAGAGTTGAACATTCCCTTTGAGAGAGCAGCTTTGAAGCACTCTTTTTGTAGCATGTGCATGTGGACATTTGGAGCGCCCTGAGGCCTATGGGGAAAAAGCAAATATCTTCCCATAACCACTAGACAGAAACATTCTGAGAAACTCCTTTATGACGTATGCACTCACCTAACCGAGAAGAACCTTCCTTTTGACAGAGCATTTTTGATACACTCTTTTTGTAGAATCTGCAAGTGGATATTTGGATAGCTGTGAAGATTTCGTTGGAAACGGGAATATCTTCCTATAAAATCTAGACAGAAGCATTCTCAGAAACTGCTCTGTGATGTCTGCATTCAAGTCACAGAGTTGAACATTGCCTTTCATAGAGCAGGTTTGAAACGCTCTTTTTGTAGTATATGTAAGTGGACGTTTCGGACAGTTTGAGGCCCATGGTGATAAAGGGAATATCTTCCCCTACAAGCTAGAAAGAAGCATTCTGTGAAACTTGTTTGTGATGTGTGTACTCAACTAACAGAGTTGAACCTTTCTTTTTACAGAGGAGTTTTGAAACACTCTTTTTGTAGAATCTGCGAGGGGATATTTGGATAGATTTCAGGATTTCGTTGGAAACGGGAATATCTTCATATAAAATCTCGACAGAAGCATTCTCAGAAACTTCTTTGTGATATGTGCATTCAAGTCACAGAGTTGAATATTCCCTTTCGCAGTGTAGGTTTGAAACACTCTTTTTGTAGTATCTGGAAGTGGACATTTGGAGCGCCTTGACGCCTACGGTGAAAAGGGAAATATCTTCCCATAAAAACTAGACAGAAGCAATCTCAGAATCTTCTTTGGGATATATGCACGCAGCTAACAGAGTTGAACCTTTCTACTGACAGAGCAGTTTTGAAACAGTCTTTCTGTGGAATCTGCAAGTGGATATTTGGATAGCTTGGAGGATTTCGTTGGAAACGGGATTACGTATAAAAAGTAGACAGCAGCATTCTCAGAAACTTCTTTGTGATGTGTGCATTCAAGTCACAGAGTTGAACATTCCCTTTTGTAGAACAGGTTTGAAACACTCTTTCTGTAGTATCTGGAAGTGAACATTTCGAGAGCTTTCAGGCCTATGGTGAGAAAGGAAATATCTTCAAATAAAAACTAGACAGAAGCATTCTCATAAACTTGTTTGTGATGTGTGAACTCAGCTAACAGAGGTGGATCTTTCGATAGAGCAGTTCTGAAAAACACTTTTTGTTGAATCTGCAAGTGGACATTTGGATAGATTTGAAGATTTCGTTGGAAACGGGAATATCTTCATATCAAATCTAGACAGAAGCATTCTCAGAAACGTCTTTGCGATGTTTGCATTCAACTCATAGAGTTGAACATTCCGTTTCAGAGAGCAGCTTTGAAGCACTCTTTTTGTAGTATGTGCAAGTGGATATTTGGAGCGCTCTGAGGCCTACGGTGAAAAAGCAAATATCTTCCCATAACCACTAGACAGAAACATTCTCAGAAACTCCTTTATGACGTATGCCCTCACCTAACAGAGAATAACCTTCCTTTTGACAGAGCATTTTTGATACACTCTTTTTGTAGCATCTGCAAGTGGATATTTGGATAGCTGTGAAGATTTCGTTGGAAACGGGAATATCTTCCTATAAAATCTAGACAGAAGCATTCTCAGAAACTGATCTGTGATGTCTGCATTCAAGTCACAGAGTTGAACATTGCCTTTCGTAGAGCAGGTTTGAAACGCTCTTTTTGTAGTATATGGAAGTAGACGTTTCGGACGGTTTGAGGCCCATGGTGATAAAGGGAATATCTTCCCCTGCAAGCTAGAAAGAAGCATTCTGTGAAACTTGTTTGTGATGTGTGTACTCAACTAACAGAGTTGAACCTTTCTTTTTACAGAGCAGTTTTGAAACACTCTTTTTGTAGAATCTGTGAGGGGATATTTGGATAGATTTGAGGATTTCGTTGGAAACGGGAATATCTTCATATAAAATCTCGACAGAAGCATTCTCAGAAACTTCTTTGTGATATGTGTATTCAAGTCACAGAGTTGAATACTCCCTTTCACAGAGTAGGTTTGAAAAACTCTTTTTGTAGTATCTGGAAGTGGACATTTGGAGCGCCTTGACGCCTACGGTGAAAAGGGAAATATCTTCCCATAAAAACTAGACAGAAGCAATCTCAGAATTTTCTTTGGGATATATGCACACAGCTAACAGAGTTGAACTTTTCTATTGACATAGCAGTTTTGAAACAGTCTTTCTGTGGAATCTGCAAGTGGATATTTGGATAGCTTGGAGGATTTCGTTGGAAACGGGATTACGTATAAAAAGTAGACAGCAGCATCCTCAGAAACTTTTTTGTGATGTGTGCATTCAAGTCACAGAGTTGAACATTCCCTTTAGTACAGCAGTTTTGAAACACTCTTTCTGTAGTATCTGGAAGTGAACATTAGGACAGCTTTCAGGTCTATGGTGAGAAAGGAAATATCTTCAAATAAAAACTAGACAGAAGCATTGTCATAAACTTGTTTGTGATGTGTGAACTCAGCTAACAGAGGTGGATCTTTCTTTTGATAGAGCAGTTCTGAAAAACACGTTTTGTTGAATCTGCAAGTGGACATTTGGATAGATTTGAAGATTTCGTTGGAAACGGGAATATCGTCATATCAAATCTAGACAGAAGCATTCTCAGAAACGTCTTTGCGATGTTTGCATTCAACTCATAGAGTTGAACATTCCGTTTCAGAGAGCAGCTTTGAGGCACTCTTTTTGTAGTATGTGCAAGTGGATATTTGGAGTGCTCTGAGGCCTACGGTGAAAAAGCAAATATCTTCCCATAACCACTAGACAGAATCATTCTCAGAAACTCCTTTATGACGTATGCACTCACCTAACAGAGAAGAACCTTCCTTTTGACAGAGCAGTTTTGATACACTCTTTTTGTAGAATCTGCAAGTGGATATTGGGATAGCTGTGAAGATTTCGTTGGAAACGGGAATATCTTCATATAAAATCTCGACAGAAGCATTCTCAGAAACTGCTCTGTGATGTCTGCATTCAAGTCACAGAGTTGAACATTGCCTTTCATAGAGCAGGTTTGAAACCCTCTTTTTGTAGTATATGGAAGTGGACTTATCGGACGGTTTGAGGCCCATGGTGATAAAGGGAATATCTTCCCCTACAAGCTAGAAAGAAGCATTCTGTGAAACTTGTTTGTGAGGTGTGTACTCAACTAACAGAGTTGAACCTTTCTTTTTACAGAGCAGTTTTGAAACAGTCTTTTTGTAGAATCTGCGAGGGGATATTTGGATAGATTTCAGGATTTCGTTGGAAACGGGAATATCTTCATATAAAATCTCGACAGAAGCATTCTCAGAAACTTCTTTGTGATATCTGCATTCAAGTAACAGAGTTGAATATTCCCTTTCACATAGTAGGTTTGAAACACTCTTTTTGTAGTATCTGGAAGTGGACATTTGGAGCTCTGTGACGCCTATGGTGAAAAGGAAAATATCTTCCCATAAAAACTAGACAGAAGCAATCTCAGAATCTTCTTTGGGATATATGCACGCAGCTAACAGAGTTGAACCTTACTATTGACAGAGCAGTTTTGAAACAGTCTTTCTGTGGAATCTGCAAGTGGATATTTGGATAGCTTGGAGGATTTCGTTGGAAACGGGATTACGCATAAAAAGTAGACAGCAGCATCCTCAGAAACTTCTTTGTGATGTGTGCATTCAAGTCACAGAGTTGAACATTCCCTTTCGTACAGCAGTTTTGAAACACTCTTTCTGTAGTATCTGGAAGTGAACATTAGGACAGCTTTCAGGTCTAGGGTGAGAAAGGAAATACCTTCAAATAAAAACTAGACAGAAGCATTCTCATAAACTTGTTTGTGATGTCTGAACTCAGCTAACAGAGGTGGATCTTTCTTTTGATAGAGCAGTTCTGAAAAACACTTTTTTTTGAATCTGCAAGTGGACATTTGGATAGATTTGAAGATTTCGTTGGAAACGGGAATATCTTCATATCAAATCTAGACAGAAGCATTCTCAGAAACAGTCTTTGTGATGTTTGCATTCAACTCATAGAGTTGAACATTCCGTTTCAGAGAGCAGCTTTGAAGCACTCTTTTTGTAGTATGTGCAAGTGGATATTTGGAGCGCTCTGAGGCCTACGGTGAAAAAGCAAATATCTTCCCATAACCACTAGACAGAAACATTCTCAGAAACTCCTTTATGAAGTATGTACTCAACTAACAGAGAAGAACCTTCCTTTTGACAGAGCAGTTTTGATACACTCTTTTTGTAGAATCTGCAAGTGGATATTTGGATAGCTATGAAGATTTCGTTGGAAACGGGAATATCTTCCTATAAAATCTAGACAGAAGCATTCTCAGAAACTGCTCTGTGATGTCTGCATTCAAGTCACAGAGTTGAACATTGGTTTTCCTAGAGCAGGTTTGAAACGCTCTTTTTGTAGTATATGGAAGTGGACGTTTCGGACGTTTTGAGGCCCATGGTGATAAAGGGAATATCTTCCCCTACAAGCTAGAAAGAAGCATTCTGTGAAACTTGTTTGTGATGTGTGTACTCAACTAACAGGGTTCAACCTTTCTTTTTACAGAGCAGTTTTGAAACAATCTTTTTGTAGAATCTGCGAGGGGATATTTGGATAGATTTCAGGATTTCGTTGGAAACGGGAATATCTTCATAGAAAATCTCGACAGAAGCATTCTCAGAAACTTCTTTGTGATATGTGCATTCAAGTCACAGAGTTGAATATTCCCTTTCACAGAGTAGGTTTGAAACACTCTTTTTATAGTATCTGGAAGTGGACATTTGGAGCGCCTTGACACCTACGGTGAAAAGGGAAATATCTTCCCATAAAAACTAGACAGAAGCAATCTCAGAATCTTCTTTGGGATATATGCATGCAGCTAACAGAGTTGAACCTTTCTATTGACAGAGCAGTTTTGAAACAGTCTTTCTGTGGAATCTGCAAGTGGATATTTGGATAGCTGGGAGGATTTCGTTGGAAACGGGATTACGTATAAAAAGTAGACAGCAGCATCCTCAGAAACTTCTTTGTGATGTGTGCATTCAAGTCACAGAGTTGAACATTCCCTTTCGTACAGCAGTTTTGAAACACTCTTTCTGTAGTATCTGCAAGTGTACATTAGGACAGCTTTCAGGTCTATGGTGAGAAAGGAAATATCTTCATATGAAAACTAGACAGAAGCATTCTCATAAACTTGTTTGTGATGTGTGAACTCAGCTAACAACGGTGGATCTTTCTTTTGATAGAGCAGTTCTGAAAAACACTTTTTGTTGAATCTGCAAGTGGACATTTGGATAGTTTTGAAGATTTCCTTGGAAACGGGAATATCTTCATATCAAATCTAGACAGAAGCATTCTCAGAAACGTCTTTGCGATGTTTGCATTCAACTCATAGAGTTGAACATTCCGTTTCAGAGAGCAGCTTTGAGGCACTCTTTTTGTAGTATGTGCAAGTGGATATTTGGAGCGCTCTGAGGCCTACGGTGAAAAAGCAAATATCTTCCCATAACCACTAACAGAAACATTCTCAGAAACTCCTTTATGACGTATGCACTCACCTAACAGAAAAGAACCTTCCTTTTGACAGAGCAGTTTCGATACACTCTTTTTGTAGAATCTGCAAGTGGATATTTGGATAGCTGTGAAGATTTCGTTGGAAACGGGAATATCTTCCTATAAAATCTAGACAGAAGCATTCCCAGAAACTGCTCTGTGATGTCTGCATTCAAGTCACAGAGTTGAACATTGCCTTTCATAGAGCAGGTTTGAAACGCTCTTTTTGTAGTATATGGAAGTGGACTTATCGGACGGTTTGAGGCCCATGGTGATAAAGGGAATATCTTCCCCTACATGCTAGAAAGAAGCATTCTGTGAAACTTGTTTGTGATGTGTGTACTCAACTAACAGAGTTGAACCTTTCTTTTCACAGAGCAGTTTTGAAACACTCTTTTTGTAGAATCTGCGAGGGGATATTTGGATAGATTTCAGCATTTCGTTGGAAACGGGAATATCTTCATATAAAATACTCGACAGAAGCATTCTCAGAAACTACTTTGTGATATGTGCATTCAAGTCACAGAGTTGAATATTCCCTTTCACAGAGTAGGTTTGAAACACTCTTTTTGTAGTATCTGGAAGTGGACATTTGGAGCGCCTTGACACCTACGGTGAAAAGGGAAATATCTTCCCATAAAAACTAGACAGAAGCAATCTCAGAATCTTCTTTGGGATATATGCACGCAGCTAACAGAGTTGAACCTTTCTATTGACAGAGCAGTTTTGAAACAGTCTTTCTGTGGAATCTGCAAGTGGATATTTGGATAGCTTGGAGGATTTCGTTGGAAACGGGATTACGTATAATAAGTAGACAGCAGTATCCTCAGAAACTTCTTTGTGATGTGTGCATTCAAGTCACAGAGTTGAACATTCCCTTTCGTACAGCAGTTTTGAAACACTCTTTCTGTAGTATCTGGAAGTGAACATTAGGACAGCTTTCAGCTCTATGGTGAGAAACAAAATATCTTCAAATAAAAACTAGACAGAAGCATTCTCATAAACTTGTTTGTGATGTGTGAACTCAGCTAAGAGACGTGGATCTTTCTTTTGATAGAGCTGTTCTGAAAAACACGTTTTGTTGAATCTGCAAGTGGACATTTGGATAGATTTGAAGATTTCGTTGGAAACGGGAATATCTTCATATCAAATCTAGACAGAAGCATTCTCGGAAACGTCTTTGTCATGTTTGCATTCAACTCATAGAGTTGAACATTCCGTTTCAGAGAGCAGCTTTGAAGCACTCTTTTTGTAGTATGTGCAAGGGGATATTTGGAGCGCTCTGAGGCCTAAGGTGAAAAAGCAAATATCTTCCCATAACCACTAAACAGAAACATTCTCAGAAACTCCTTTATGACGTATGCACTCACCTAACAGAGAAGAACCTTCCTTCTGACAGAGCAGTTTTGATACACTCTTTTTGTAGAATCTGCAAGTGGATATTTGGATAGCTGTGAAGATTTCGTTGGAAACGGGAATATCTTCCTATAAAATCTAGACAGAAGCATTCTCAGTAAACTGCTCTGTGATGTCTGCATTCAAGTCACAGAGTTGAACATTGCCTTTCATAGAGCAGGTTTGAAACGCTCTTTTTGTAGTATATGGAAGTGGATGTTTCGGACGGTTGGAGGCCCATGGTGATAAAGGGAATATCTTCCCCTACAAGCTAGAAAGAAGCATTCTGTGAAACTTGTTTGTGAGGTGTGTACTCAACTAACAGAGTTGAACCTTTCTTTTTACAGAGCAGTTTTGAAACACTGTTTTTGTAGAATCTGCGAGGGGATATTTGGATAGATTTCAGGATTTCGTTGGAAACGGGAATATCTTCATATAAAATCTCGACAGAAGCATTCTCAGAAACTTCTTTGTGACATGTGCATTCAAGTCACAGAGTTGAATATTCCCTTTCACAGAGTAGGTTTGAAACACTCTTTTTGTAGTATCTGGAAGTGGACATTTGGAGCGCCTCGACGCCTACGGTGAAAAGGGAAATATCTTCCCATAAAAACTAGACAGAAGCAGTCTCAGAATCTTCTTTGGGATATATGGACACAGCTAACAGAGTTGAACTTTTCTATTGACAGAGCAGTTTTGAAACAGTCTTTCTGTGGAATCTGCAAGTGGATATTTGGATAGCTTGGAGGATTTCGTTGGAAACGGGATTACGTATAAAAAGTAGACAGCAGCATCCTCAGAAACTTCTTTGTGATGTGTGCATTCAAGTCACAGAGTTGAACATTCCCTTTCGTACAGCAGTTTTCAAACACTCTTTCTGTAGTATCTGGAAGTGAACATTAGGACAGCTTTCAGCTCTATGGTGAGAAAGGAAATATCTTCAAATAAAAACTAGAGAGAAGCATTCTCATAAACTTGTTTGTGATGTGTGAACTCAGCTAACAGAGGTGGATCTTTCTTTTGATAGAGCAGTTCTGAAAAACACTTTTTGTTGAATCTGCAAGTGGACATTTGGATAGATTTGAAGATTTCTTTGGAAACGGGAATATCTTCATATCAAATCTAGACAGAAGCATTCTCAGAAACGTCTTTGCGATGTTTGCATTCAACTCATAGAGTTGAACATTCCGTTTCAGAGAGCAGCTTTGAGGCACTCTTTTTGTAGTATGTGCAAGTGGATATTTGAAGCGCTCTGAGGCCTACGGTGAAAAAGCAAATATCTTCCCATAACCACTAACAGAAACATTCTCAGAAACTCCTTTATGACGTATGTACTCAACTAACAGAGAAGAACCTTCCTTTTGACAGAGCAGTTTTGATAGACTCTTTTTGTAGAATCTGCAAGTGGATATTTGGATAGCTGTGAAGATTTCGTTGGAAACTGGAATATCTTCCTATAAAATCTAGACAGAAGCATTCTCAGAAACTGCTCTGTGATGTCTGCATTCAAGTCACAGAGTTGAACATTGCCTTTCCTAGAGCAGGTTTGAAACGCTCTTTTTGTAGTATATGGAAGTGGACGTTTCGGACGGTTTGAGGCCCATGGTGATGAAGGGAATATCTTCCCCTACAAGCTAGAAAGAAGCATTCTGTGATACTTGTTTGTGATGTGTGTACTCAACTAACAGAGTTGAACCTTTCTTTTTACAGAACAGTTTTGAAACACTCTTTTTGTAGAATCTGAGAGGGGATATTTGGATAGATTTCAGGATTTCGTTGGAAACGGGAATATCTTCATATAAAATCTCGACAGAAGCATTCTCAGAAACTTCTTTGTGATATGTGCATTCAAGACACAGAGTTGAATATTCCCTTTCACAGAGTAGGTTTGAAACACTCTTTTTGTAGTATCTGGAAGTGGACATTTGGAGCGCCTTGACGCCTACGGTGAAAAGGGAAATATCTTCCCATAAAAACTAGACAGAAGCAATCTCAGAATCTTCTTTGGGATATATGCACGCAGCTAACAGAGTTGAACCTTTCTATCGACAGAGCAGTTTTGAAACAGTCTTTCTGTGGAATCTGCAAGTGGATATTTCGATAGCTTGGAGGATTTCGTTGGAAACGGGATTACGTATAAAAAGTAGACAGCAGCATCCTCAGAAACATCTTTGTGATGTGGGCATTCAAGTCACAGAGTTGAACATTCCCTTTCGTACAGCAGTTTTGAAACACTCTTTCTGTAGTATCTGGAAGTGAACATTAGGACAGCTTTCAGGTCTATGGTGAGACAGGAAATATCTTCAAATAAAAACTAGACAGAAGCATTCTCAAGAACTTGTTTGTTATGTGTGAACTCAGCTAACAGAGGTGGATGTTTCTTTTGATAGAGCAGTTTTGAAAAACACTTTTTGTTGAATCTGCAAGTGGACATTTGGATAGATATGAAGATTTCGTTGGAAACGGGAATATCTTCATATCAAATCTAGACAGAAGCATTCTCAGAAACGTCTTTGCGATGTTTGCATTCAACTCACAGAGTTGAACATTCCGTTTCAGAGAGCAGCTTTGAGGCACTCTTTTTGTACTATGTGCAACTGGATATTTGGAGCGCTCTGAGGCCTACGGTGAAAAAGAAAATATCTTCCCATAACCACTAGACAGAAACATTCTCAGAAACTCCTTTATGACGTATGCACTCACTTAACAGAAAAGAACCTTCCTTTTGACAGAGCAGTTTTGATACACTCTTTTTGTACAATCTGCAAGTGGATATTTGGATAGCTGTGAAGATTTCGTTGGAAACGGGAATATCTTCCTATAAAATCTAGACAGAAGCATTCTCAGAAACTGCTCTGTGATGTCTGCATTCAAGTCACAGAGTTGAACATTGCCTTTCATAGAGCAGGTTTGAAACGCTCTTTTTGTAGTATATGGAAGTGGACGTTACGGACGGTTTGAGGCCCATGGTGATAAAGGGAATATCTTCCCCTACAAGCTAGAAAGAAGCATTCTGTGAAACTTGTTTGTGATGTGTGTACTCAACTAACAGAGTTGAACCTTTCTTTTTACAGAGCAGTTTTGAAACACTCTTTTTGTAGAATCTGCGAGGGGATTTTTGGATAGATTTCAGGATTTCGTTGGAAACGGGAATATCTTCATAAAACATCTCGACAGAAGTATTCTCAGAAACTTCTTTGTGATATGTGCATTCAAGTCACAGAGTTGAATATTCCCTTTCACAGAGTAGGTTTGAAACACTCTTTTTGTAGTATCTGGAAGTGGACATTTGGAGCGCCTTGACGCCTACGGTGAAAAGGGAAATATCTTCTCATAAAAAGTAGACAGAAGCAATCTCAGAATCTTCTTTGGGATATATGCACGCAGCTAACAGAGTTGAACCTTTCTATTGACAGAGCAGTTTTGAAACAGTCTTTCTGTGGAATCTGCAAGTGGATATTTGGATAGCTTGGAGGATTTCCTTGGAAACGGGATTACGTACAAAAAGTAGACAGCAGCATCCTCAGAAACTTCTTTGTGATGTGTGCATTCAAGTCACAGAGTTGAACATTCCCTTTCGTACAGCAGTTTTGAAACACTCTTTCTGTAGTATCTGGAAGTGAACATTAGGACAGCTTTCAGGTCTATGGTGAGAAAGGAAATATCTTCAAATAAAAATTAGACAGAAGCATTCTGATAAACTTGTTTGTGAAGTGTGATCTCAGCTAACAGAGGTGGATCTTTCTTTTGATAGAGCAGTTCTGAAAAACACTTTGTTGAATCTGCAAGTGGACATTTGGATAGATTTGAAGATTTCGTTGGAAACGGGAATTTCTTCATATCAAATCTAGACAGAAGCATTCTCAGAAACGTCTTTGTCATGTTTGCATTCAACTCATAGAGTTGAACATTCCGTTTCAGAGAGCAGCTTTGAAGCACTCTTTTTGTAGTATGTGCAAGTGGATATTTGGAGCGCTCTGAGGCCTACGGTGAAAAAGCAAATATCTTCCCATAACCACTAGACAGAAACATTCTCAGAAACTCCTTTACGACGTATGCACTCACCTAACAGAGAAGAACCTTCCTTTTGACAGAGCAGTTTTGATACACTCTTTTTGTAGAATCTGCAAGTGGATATTTGGATAGCTGTGAAGATTTCGTTGGAAACGGGAATATCTTCCTATAAAACCTAGACAGAAGCATTCTCAGAAACTGCTCTGTGATGTCTGCATTCAAGTCACAGAGTTGAACATTGCCTTTCATAGAGCAGGTTTGAAACGCTCTTTTTGTAGTATATGGAAGTAGACGTTTGGAGTGCATTGACGCCTACGGTGAAAAGGGAAATATCTTCCCATAAAAACTAGACAGAAGCATTCTGTGAAACTTGTTTGTGATGTGTGTACTCAACTAACAGAGTTGAACCTTTCTTTTTACAGAGCAGTTTTGAAACACTCTTTTTGTAGAATCTGCGATGGGATATTTGGATACATTTCAGCATTTCGTTGGAAACGGGAATATCTTCATATAAAATACTCGACAGAAGCATTCTCAGAAACTTCTTTGTGATATGTGCATTCAAGTCACAGAGTTGAATATTCCCTTTCACAGAGTAGGTTTGAAACACTCTTTTTGTAGTATCTGGAAGTGGACATTTGGAGCGCCTTGACGCCTTCGGTGAAAAGGGAAATATCTTCCCATAAAAACTAGACAGAAGCAATCTCAGAATCTTCTTTGGGATATATGCACGCAGCTAACAGAGTTGAACCTTTCTATTGACAGTGCAGTTTTGAAATAGTCTTTCTGTGGAATCTGCAAGTAGATATTTGGATAGCTAGGAGGATTTCGTTGGAAACGGGATTACGTATAAAAAGTAGACAGCAGCATCCTCAGAAACTTCTTTGTGATGTGTGCATTCAAGTCACAGAGTTGAACATTCCCTTTCGTAGAGCAGTTTTGAAACACACTTTCTGTAGTATCTGGAAGTGAACATTAGGACAGCTTTCAGGTCTATGGTGAGAAAGGAAATATCTTCAAATAAAAACTAGACAGAAGCATTCTCAAGAACTTGTTTGTTATGTGTGAACTCAGCTAACAGAGGTGGATGTTTCTTTTGATAGAGCAGTTCTGAAAAACACGTTTTGTTGAATCTGCAAGTGGACATTTGGATAGATTTGAAGATGTCGTTGGAAACGGGAATATCTTCATATCAAATCTAGACAGAAGCATTCTCAGAAACGTCTTTGTGATGTTTGCATTCAACTCATAGAGTTGAACATTCCCTTTCAGAGAGCAGCTTTGAAGCACTCTTTTTGTAGTATGTGCAAGTGGATATTTGGAGCGCTCTGAGGCCTAAGGTGAAAAAGCAAATATCTTCCCATAACCACTAGACAGAAACATTCTCAGAAACTCCTTTATGACGTATGCACTCACCTAACAGAGAAGAACCTTCCTTTTGACAGAGCAGTTTTGATACACTCTTTTTGTAGAATCTGCAAGTGGATATTTGGATAGCTGTGAAGATTTCGTTGGAAACGGGAATATCTTTCTATAAAATCTACACAGAAGCATTCTCAGAAACTGCTCTGTGATGTCTGCATTCAAGTCACAGAGTTGAACACTGCCTTTCCTAGAGCAGGTTTGAAACGCTCTTTTTGTAGTATATGGAAGTGGACGTTTCGGACGGTTTGAGGCCCATAGTGATAAAGGGAATATCTTCCCCTACAAGCTAGAAAGAAGCATTCTGTGAAACTTGTTTGTGATGTGTGTAGTCAACTAACAGAGTTGAACCTTTCTTTTTACAGAGCAGTTTTGAAACACTCTTTTTGTAGAATCTGCGAGGGGATATTTGGATAGATTTCAGGATTTCGTTGGAAAGGGGAATATCTTCATATAAAATCTCGACAGAAGCATTCTCAGAAACTTCTTTGTGATATGTGCATTCAAGTCACAGAGTTGAATATTCCCTTTCACAGAGTAGGTTTGAAACACTCTTTTTGTAGTATCTGGAAGTGGACATTTGGAGCGCCTTGACGCCCACGGTGAAAAGGGAAATATCTTCCCATCAAAACTAGACAGAAGCAATCTCAGAATCTTCTTTGGGATATATGCACGCAGCTAACAAAGTTGAACCTTTCTATTGACAGAGCAGTTTTGAAACAGTCTTTCTGTGGAATCTGCAAGTGGATATTTGGATAGATTGGAGGATTTCGTTGGAAACGGGATTACGTATAAAAAGTAGACAGCAGCATCCTCAGAAACTTCTTTGTGATGTGTGCATTCAAGTCACAGAGTTGAACTTTCCCTTTCGTACAGCAGTTTTGAAACACTCTTTCTGTAGTATCTGGGAGTGAACATTAGGACAGCTTTCAGGTCTATGGTGAGAAAGGAAATATCTTCAAATAAAAACTAGACAGAAGCGTTCTCATAAACTTGTTTGTGATGTGTGAACTCAGCTAACAGAGGTGGATCTTTCTTTTGATAGAGCAGTTCTGAAAAACACTTTTTGTTGAATCTGAAAGTGGACATTTGGATAGATTTGAAGATTTCGTTGGAAACGGGAATATCTTCATATCAAATCTAGACAGAAGCATTCTCAGAAACGTCTTTGTGATGTTTGCATTCAACTCATAGAGTTGAACATTCCCTTTCAGAGAGCAGCTTTGAAGCACTCTTTTTGTAGTATGTGCAAGGGGATATTTGGAGCGCTCTGAGGCCGACGGTGAAAAAGCAAATATCTTCCCATAACCACTAGACAGAAACATTCTCAGAAACTCCTTTATGACGTATGTACTCAACTAACAGAGAAGAACATTCCGTTTGACAGAGCAGTTTTGATACACTCTTTTTGTAGAATCTGCAAGTGGATATTTGGATAGCTGTGAAGGTTTCGTTGGAAACGGAAATATCTTCCTATAAAATCTAGACAGAAGCATTCTCAGAAACTGCTCTGTGATGTCTGCATTCAAGTCACAGAGTTGAACATTGTCTTTCATACAGCAGGTTTGAAGCGCTCTTTTTGTAGTATATGGAAGTGGACGTTTCGGACGGTTTGAGGCCCATGGTGATAAAGGGAATATCTTCCCCTACAAGCTAGAAAGAAGCATTGTGTGAAACTTGTTTGTGATGTGTGTACTCAACTAACAGAGTTGAACCTTTCTTTTTACAGAGCAGTTTTGAAACACTCTTTTTGTAGAATCTGCGAGGGGATATTTGGATAGATTTCAGGATTTTGTTGGAAACCGGAATATCTTCATATAAAATCTCGACAGAAGCATTCTCAGAAACTTCTTTGTGATATGTGTGTTCAAGTCACAGAGTTGAATACTCCCTTTCACAGAGTAGGTTTGAAACACTCTTTTTGTAGTATCTGGAAGTGGACATTTGGAGCGCCTTGACGCCTACGGTGAAAAGGGAAATATCTTCCCATAAAAACTAGACAGAAGCAATCTCAGAATCTTCCTTGGGATATATGCACGCAGCTAACAGAGTTGAACCTTTCTATTGACAGAGCAGTTTTGAAACAGTCTTTCTGTGGAATCTGCAAGTGGATATTTGGATAGATTGGAGGATTTCGTTGGAAACGGGATTACGTATAAAAAGTAGACAGCAGCATCCTCAGAAACTTCTTTGTGATGTGTGCATTCAAGTCACAGAGTTGAACATTCCCTTTCGTACAGCAGTTTTGAAACACTCTTTGTGTAGTATCTGGAAGTGAACATTAGGACAGCTTTCAGGTCTATGGTGAGAAAGGAAATATCTTCAAATAAAGACTAGACAGAAGCATTCTCATAAACTTGTTTGTGATGTGTGAACTCAGCTTACAGAGGTGGATCTTTCTTTTGATAGAGCAGTTCTGAAAAACACTTTTTGTTGAATCTGCAAGTGGACATTTGGATAGATTTGAAGATTTCGTTGGAAACGGGAATATCTTCATATCAAATCTAGACAGAAGCATTCTCAGTAAACGTCTTTGTGATGTTTGCATTCAACTCATAGAGTTGAACATTCCCTTTCAGAGAGCAGCTTTGAAGCACTCTTTTTGTAGCATGTGCAAGTGGACATTTGGAGCGCCCTGAGGCCTACGGGGAAAAAGCAAATATCTTCCCATAACCACTAGACAGAAACATTCTCAGAAACTCCTTTATGACGTATGCACTCACCTAACAGAGAAGAACCTTCCTTTTGACAGAGCAGTTTTGATACACTCTTTTTGTAGAATCTGCAAGTGGATATTTGGATACCTGTGAAGATTTCGTTGGAAACGGGAATATCTTCCTATAACATCTAGACAGAAGCATTCTCAGAAACTGCTCTGTGATGTCTGCATTCAAGTCACAGAGTTGAACATTGCCTTTCCTAGATCAGGTTTGAAACGCTCTTTTTGTAGTATATGGAAGTGGACGTTTCGGACGGTTTGAGGCCCATGGTGATAAAGGGAATATCTTCCCCTACAAGCTAGAAAGAAGCATTCTGTGAAACTTGTTTGTGATGTGTGTACTCAAGTAACAGAGTTGAACCTTTCTTTTTACAGAGCAGTTTTGAAACACTCTTTTTGTAGAATCTGCGAGGGGATATTTGGATAGATTTCAGGATTTCGTTGGAAACGGGAATATCTTCATATAAAATCTCGACAGAAGCATTCTCAGGAACTTCTTTGTGATATGTGCATTCAAGTCACAGAGTTGAATATTCCCTTTCACAGAGTAGGTTTGAAACACTCTTTTTGTAGTATCTGGAAGTGGACATTTGGAGCGCCTTGACACCTACGGTGAAAAGGGAAATATCTTCCCATAAAAACTAGACAGAAGCAATCTCAGAATCTTCTTTGGGATATATGCACGCAGCTAACAGAGTTGAACGTTTCTATTGACAGAGCAGTTTTGAAACAGTCTTTCTGTGGAATCTGCAAGTGGATATTTGGATAGCTTGGAGGATTTCGTTGGAAACGGGATTACGTATAAAAAGTAGACAGCAGCATCCTCAGAAACTTCTTTGTGATGTGTGCATTCAAGTCACAGAGTTGAACATTCCCTTTCGTACAGCAGTTTTCAAACACTCTTTCTGTAGTATCTGGAAGTGAACATTAGGACAGCTTTCAGCTCTATGGTGAGAAAGGAAATATCTTCAAATAAAAACTAGACAGAAGCATTCTGATAAACTTGTTTGTGAAGTGTGAACTCAGCTAACGGAGGTGGATCTTTCTTTTGATAGAGCAGTTCTGAAAAACACTTTTTGTTGAATCTGCAAGTGGACATTTGGATAAATTTGAAGATTTCGTTGGAAACGGGAATATCTTCATATCAAATCTAGACAGAAGCATTCTCAGAAACGTCTTTGTGATGTTTGCATTCAACTCATAGAGTTGAACATTCCGTTTCAGAGAGCAGCTTTGAAGCACTCTTTTTGTAGTATGTGCAAGTGGATATTTGGAGCGCTGTGAGGTCTACGGTGAAAAAGCAAATATCTTCCCATAACCACTAGACTGAAACATTCTCAGAAACTCCTTTACGACGTATGCACTCACCTAAGAGAGAAGAACCTTCCTTTTGACAGAGCAGTTTTGATACACTCTTTTTGTAGAATCTGCAAGTGGATATTTGGATAGCTGTGAAGATTTCGTTGGAAACGGGAATATCTTCCTATAAAATCTAGACAGAAGCATTCTCAGAAACTGCTCTGTGATGTCTGCATTCAAGTCACTGAGTTGAACATTGCCTTTCATAGAGCAGGTTTGAAACGCTCTTTTTGTACTATATGGAAGTGGACGTTTCGGACGGTTTGAGGCCCATGGTGATAAAGGGAATATCTTCCCCTACAAGCTAGAAAGAAGCATTCTGTGAAACTTGTTTGTGATGTGTGTACTCAAGTAACAGAGTTGAACCTTTCTTTTTACAGAGCAGTTTTGAAACACTCTTTTTGTAGAATCTGCGAGGGGATATTTGGAGAGATTTCAGGATTTCGTTGGAAACGGGAATATCTTCATATAAAATCTCGACAGAAGCATTCTCAGAAACTTCTTTGTGATATGTGCATTCAAGTCACAGAGTTGAATATTCCCTTTCACAGAGTAGGTTTGAAACACTCTTTTTGTAGTATCTGGAAGTGGACATTTGGAGCCCCTTGACGCCTACGGTGAAAAGGGAAATATCTTCCCATAAAAACTAGACAGAAGCAATCTCAGAATCTTCTTTGGGATATATGCACGCAGCTAACAGAGTTGAACCTTTCTATTGACAGAGCAGTTTTGAAACAGTCTTTCGGTGGAATCTGCAAGTGGATATTTGGATAGCTTGGAGGATTTCGTTGGAAACGGGATTACGTATAAAAAGTAGACAGCAGCATCCTCAGAAACATCCTTGTGATGTGTGCATTCAAGTCACAGAGTTGAACATTCCCTTTCGTACAGCAGTTTTGAAACACTCTTTCTGTAGTATCTGGAAGTGAACTTTAGGACACCTTTCAGGTCTATAGTGAGAAAGGATATATCTTCAAATAAAAACTAGACGGAAGCATTCTCATAAACTTGTTTGTGATGTGTGAACTCAGCTAACAGAGGCGGATCTTTCTTTTGATAGAGCAGTTCGGAAAAACACTTTTTGTTGAATCTGCAAGTGGACATTTGGATAGATTTGAAGATTTCCGTTGGAAACGGGAATATCTTCATATCAAATCTAGACAGAAGCATTCTCAGAAACGTCTTTGCGATGTTTGCATTCAACTCATAGAGTTGAACATTCCGTTTCAGAGAGCAGCTTTGAGGCACTCTTTTTGTAGTATCTGCAAGTGGATATTTGGAGCGCTCTGAGGCCTACGGTGAAAAAGCAAATATCTTCCCATAACCACTAGACAGAAACATTCTCAGAAACTCCTTTATGACGTATGCACTTACCTAACAGAGAAGAACCTTCCTTTTGACAGAGCAGTTTTGATACACTCTTTTTGTAGAATCTGCAAGTGGATATTTGGATAGCTGTGAAGATTTCGTTGGAAACGGGAATATCTTCCTATAAAATCTACACAGAAGCATTCTCAGAAACTGCTCTGTGATGTCTGCATTCAAGTCACAGAGTTGAACATTGCCTTTCATAGAGCAGGTTTGAAACGCTCTTTTTGTAGTATATGGAAGTGGACGTTTCGGACAGTTTGAGGCCCATGGTGATAAAGGGAATATCTTCCCCTACAAGCTAGAAAGAAGCATTGTGTGAAACTTGTTTGTGATGTGTGTACTCAACTAACAGAGTTGAACCTTTCTTTTTACAGAGCAGTTTTGAAACACTCTTTTAGTAGAATCTGCAAGGGGATATTTGGATAGATTTCAGGATTTCGTTGGAAACGGGAATATCTTCATATAAAAATTCGACAGAAGCATTCTCAGAAACTTCCTTGTGATATGTGCATTCAGGTCACAGAGTTGAATATTCCCTTTCACAGAGTAGGTTTGAAACACTCTTTTTGTAGTATCTGGAAGTGGACATTTGGAGCGCCTTGACGCCTACGGTGAAAAGGGAAATATCTTCCCATAAAAACTAGACAGAAGCAATCTCAGAATCTTCTTTGGGATATATGCACGCAGCTAACAGAGTTGAACCTTTCTATTGACAGAGCAGTTTTGAAACAGTCTTTCTGTGGAATCTGCAAGTGGATATTTGGATAGCTTTGAGGATTTCGTTGGAAACGGGATTACGTATAAAAAGTAGACAGCAGCATCCTCCGAAACATCTTTGTGATGTGTGCATTCAAGTCACAGAGTTGAACATTCCCTTTCGTACAGCAGTTTTGAAACACTCTTTCTGTAGTATCTGGAAGTGAACATTAGGACAGCTTTCAGGTCTATGGTGAGAAAGGAAATACCTTCCAATAAAAACTAGACAGAAGCATTCTCATAAACTTGTTTGTGATGTCTGAACTCAGCTAACAGACGTGGATATTTCTTTTGATACAGCAGTTTTGAAAAACACTTTTTGTTGAATCTGCAAGTGGACATTTGGATAGATTTGAAGATTTCGTTGGAAACGGGAATATCTTCATATCAAATCTAGACAGAAGCATTCTCAGAAACGTCTTTGTGATATTTGCATTCAACTCATAGAGTTGAACATTCCCTTCCAGAGAGTAGCTTTGAAGCACTCTTTTTGTAGCATGTGCAAGTGGACATTTGGAGCGCCCTGAGGCCTACGGGTAAAAAGCAAATATCTTCCCATAACCACTAGACAGAAACATTCTCAGAAACTCCTTTATGACGTATGCACTCACCTAACAGAGAAGAACCTTCCCTTTTGACAGAGCAGTTTTGATACACTCTTTTTGTAGAATCTGCAAGTGGATATTTGGATAGCTGTGAAGATTTCGTTGGAAACGGGAATATCTTCCTATAAAATCTAGACAGAAGCATTCTCAGAAACTGCTCTCTGATGTCTGCATTCAAGTCACAGAGTTGAACATTGTCTTTCATAGAGCAGGTTTGAAACGCTCTTTTTGTAGTATATGGAAGTGGACGTTTCGGACGGTTTGAGGCCCATGGTGATAAAGGGAATATCTTCCCCTACAAGCTAGAAAGAATCATTCTGTGAAACTTGTTTGTGATGTGTGTACTCAAGTAACAGAGTTGAACCTTTCTTTTTACAGAGCAGTTTTGAAACACTCTTTTTGTAGAATCTGCGAGGGGATATTTGGAGAGATTTCAGGATTTCGTTGGAAACGGGAATATCTTCATATAAAATCTCGACAGAAGCATTCTCAGAAACTTCTTTGTGATATGTGCATTCAAGTCACAGAGTTGAATATTCCCTTTCACAGAGTAGGTTTGAAACACTCTCTTTGTAGTATCTGGAAGTGGACATTTGGAGCGCCTTGACGCCTACGGTGAAAAGGGAAATATCTTCCCATAATAACTAGACAGAAGCAATCTCAGAATCTTCTTTGGGATATATGCACGCAGCTAACAGAGTTGAACCTTTCTATTGACAGAGCAGTTTTGAAACAGTCTTTCTGTGGAATCTGCAAGTGGACATTTGGATAGCTTGGAGGATTTCGTTGGAAACGGGATTACGTATAAAAAGTAGACAGCAGCATCCTCAGAAACTTCTTTGTGATGTGTGCATTCAAGTCACAGAGTTGAACATTCCCTTTCGTACAGCAGTTTTGAAACACTCTTTCTGTAGTATCTGGAAGTGAACACTAAGACAGCTTTCAGCTCTATGGTGAGAAAGGAAATATCTTCAAATAAAAACTAGACAGAAGCATTCTCATAAACTTGTTTGTGATGTGTGAACTCAGCTAACGGACGTGGATCTTTCTTTTGATACAGCAGTTTTGAAAAACACTTTTTGTTGAATCTGCAAGTGGACATTTGGATAGATTTGAAGATTTCGTTGGAAACGGGAATATCTTCATATCAAGTCCAGACAGAAGCATTCTCAGAAACGTCTTTGTGATGTTTGCATTCAACTCATAGATTTGAACATTCCGTTTCAGAGAGCAGCTGTGAAGCACTCTTTTTGTAGTATGTGCAAGGGGATATTTGGAGCGCTCTGAGGCCTACGGTGAAAAAGCAAATATCTTCCCATAACCACTAGACAGAACATTCTCAGAAACTCCTTTATGACGTATGCACTCACCTAACAGAGAAGAACCTTCCTTTTGACAGAGCAGTTTTGATACACTCTTTTTGTAGAATCTGCAAGTGGATATTTGGATAGCTGTGAAGATTTCGTTGGAAACGGGAATATCTTCCTATAAAATCTAGACAGAAGCATTCTCAGAAACTGCTCTGTGATGTCTGCATTCAAGTCACAGAGTTGAACATTGCCTTTCATAGAGCAGGTTTCAAACGCTCTTTTTGTAGTATATGGAAGTGGACGTTTCGGACGGTTTGAGGCCCATGGTGATGAAGGAAATATCTTCCCCTACAAGCTAGAAAGAAGCATTGTGTGAAACTTGTTTGTGATGTGTGTACTCAACTAACAGAGTTGAACCTTTCTTTTTACACAGCAGTTTTGAAACACTCTTTTTGTAGAATCTGCGAGGGGATATTTGGATAGATTTCAGGATTTCGTTGGAAACGGGAATATCTTCATATAAAATCTCGACAGAAGCATTCTCAGGAAACTTCTTTGTGATATGTGCATTCAAGTCACAGAGTTGAATATTCCCTTTCACAGAGTAGGTTTGAAACACTCTTTTTGTAGTATCTGGAAGTGGACATTTGGAGCGCCTTGACACCTACGGTGAAAAGGGAAATATCTTCCCATCAAAACTAGACAGAAGCAATCTCAGAATTTTCTTTGGGATATATGTACGCAGCTAATAGAGTTGAACCTTTCTATTGACAGAGCAGTTTTGAAACAGTCTTTCTGTGGAATCTGCAAGTGGATATTTGGATAGCTTGGAGGATTTCGTTGGAAACGGGATTACGTATAAAAAGTAGACAGCAGCATCCTCAGAAACATCCTTGTGATGTGTGCATTCAAGTCACAGAGTTGAACATTCCCTTTCGTACAGCAGTTTTGAAACACTCTTTCTGTAGTATCTGGAAGTGAACATTAGGACAGCTTTCAGGTCTATGGTGAGAAAGGAAATATCTTCAAATAAAAACTAGACGGAAGCATTCTCATAAACTTGTTTGTGATGTGTGAACTCAGCTAACAGAGGTTGGATCTTTCTTTTGATAGAGCAGTTCTGAAAAACACTTTTTGTTGAATCTGCAAGTGGACATTTGGATAGATTTGAAGATTTCGTTGGAAACGGGAATATCTTCATATCAAATCTAGACAGAAGCATTCTCAGAAACGTCTTTGTGATGATTGCATTCAACTCATAGAGTTGAACATTCCGTTTCAGAGAGCAGCTTTGAAGCACTCTTTTTGTAGTATGTGCAAGTGGATATTTGGAGTGCTCTGGGGCTTACGGTGAAAAAGCAAATATCTTCCCATAACCACTAGACAGAAACATTCTCAGAAACTCCTTTATGACGTATGCACTCACCTAACAGAGAAGAACCTTCTTTTTGACAGAGCAGTTTTGATACACTCTTTTTGTAGAATCTGCAAGTGGATATTTGGATAGCTGTGAAGATTTCTTTGGAAACGGGAATATCTTCCTATAAAGTATAGACAGAAAGCATTCTCAGAAACTGCTCTGTGATGTCTGCATTCAAGTCACAGAGTTGAACATTGCCTTTCATAGAGCAGGTTTGAAATGCTCTTTTTGTAGTATATGGAAGTGGACGTTTCAGACGGTTTGAGGCCCATGGTGATAAAGGGAATATCTTCCCCTACAAGCTAGAAAGAGCATTCTGTGAAACTTGTTTGTGATGTGTGTACTCAACTAACAGAGTTGAACCTTTCTTTTTACAGAGCGGTTTTGAAACACTCTTTTTGTAGAATCTGCGAGGGGATATTTCGATAGATTTCAGGATTTCGTTGGAAACGGGAATATCTTCATATAAAATCTCGACAGAAGCATTCTCAGAAACTTCTTTGTGATATCTGCCTTCAAGTCACAGAGTTGAATATTCCCTTTCACAGAGTAGGTTTGAAACACTCTTTTTGTAGTATCTGGAAGTGGACATTTGGAGCGCCTTGACGCCTATGGTGAAAAGGGAAATATCTTCCCATAAAAACTAGACAGAAGCAATCTCAGAATCTTCTTTGGGATATATGCACGCAACTAACAGAGTTGAACCTTTCTATTGACAGAGCAGTTTTGAAACAGTCTTTCTGTGGAATCTGCAAGTGGATATTTGGATAGCTTGGAGGATTTCGTTGGAAACGGGATTACGTATAAAAAGTAGACAGCAGCATCCTCAGAAACTTCTTTGTGATGTGTGCATTCAAGTCACAGAGTTGAACATTCCCTTTCATACAGCAGTTTCGAAACACTCTTTCTGTAGTATCTGGAAGTGAACTTTAGGAGAGCTTTCAGGTCTATAGTGAGAAAGGTTATATCTTCAAATAAAAACTAGACAGAAGCATTCTCATCAACTTGTTTGTGATGTGTGAACTCAGCTAACAGAGGTGGATCTTTCTTTTGATAGAGCAGTTCTGAAAAACACGTTTTGTTGAATCTGCAAGTGGACATTTGGATAGATTTGAAGATTTCGTTGGAAACGGGAATATCTTCATATCAAATCTAGACAGAAGCATTCTCAGAAACGTCTTTGTGATGTTTGCATTCAACTCATAGAGTTGAACATTCCGTTTCAGAGAGCAGCTTTGAAGCACTCTTTTTGTAGTATGTGCAAGAGGATATTTGGAGCGCTCTGAGGCCTACGGTGAAAAAGCAAATATCTTCCCATAACCACTAGACAGAAACATTCTCAGAAACTCCTTTATGACGTATGCACTCACCTAACAGAGAAGAACCTTCCTTTTGACAGAGCAGTTTTGATGCACTCTTTTTGTAGAATCTGCAAGTGGATATTTGGATAGCTGTGAAGATTTCGTTGGAAACGGGAATATCTTCCTATAAAATCTAGACAGAAGCATTCTCAGAAACTGCTCTGTGATGTCTGCATTCAAGTCACAGAGTTGAACATTGCCTTTCATAGAGCAGGTTTGAAATGCTCTTTTTGTAGTATATGGAAGTGGACGTTTCAGTCGGTTTGAGGCCCATGGTGATAAAGGGAATATCGTCCCCTACAAGCTAGAAAGAAGCATTCTGTGAAACTTGTTTGTGATGTGTGTACTCAACTAACAGAGTTGAACCTTTCTTTTTACAGAGCAGTTTTGAAACTCTCTTTTTGTAGAATCTGCGAGGGGATATTTGGATAGATTTCAGGATTTCGTTGGAAACGGGAATATCTTCATATAAAATCTCGACAGAAGCATTCTCAGAAACTTCTTTGTGATAGGTGCATTCAAGTCACAGAGTTGAATATTCCCTTTCACAGAGTAGGTTTGAAACACTCTTTTTGTAGTATCTGGAAGTGGACATTTGGAGCGCCTTGACGCCTACGGTGAAAAGGGAAATATCTTCCCATAAAAACTAGACAGAAGCAATCTCAGAATCTTCTTTGGGATATATGCACGCAGCTAACAGAGTTGAACCTTTCTATTGACAGAGCAGTTTTGAAACAGTCTTTCTGTGGAATCTGCAAGTGGATATTTGGAGAGCTTGGAGGATTTCGTTGGAAACGGGATTACGTATAAAAAGTAGACAGCAGCATCCTCCGAAACTTCTTTGTGATGTGTGCATTCAAGTCACAGAGTTGAACATTCCCTTTCGTACAGCAGTTTTGAAACACTCTTTCTGTAGTATCTGGAAGTGAACATTAGGACAGCTTTCAGCTCTATGGTGAGAAAGGAAATATCTTCAAATAAAAACTACACAGAAGCATTCTCATAAACTTGTTTGTGATGTGTGAACACAGCTAACAGAGGTGGATCTTTCTTTTGATAGAGCAGTTCTGAAAAACACTTTTTGTTGAATCTGCTAGTGGACATTTGGATAGATTTGAAGATTTCGTTGGAAACGGGAATATCTTCATATCAAATCTAGACAGAAGCATTCTCAGAAACGTCTTTGTGATGTTTGCATTCAACTCATAGAGTTGAACATTCCGTTTCAGAGAGCAGCTTTGAGGCACTCTTTTTGTAGTATGTGCAAGTGGATATTTGGACCGCTCTGAGGCCTGCGGTGAAAAAGCAAATATCTTCCCATAACCACTAGACAGAAATATTGTCAGAAACTCCTTTATGACGTTTGCACTCACCTAACAGAGAAGAACCTTCCTTTTGACAGAGCAGTTTTGATACACTCTTTTTGTAGAATCTGCAAGTGGATATTTGGATAGCTGTGAAGATTTCGTTGGAAACGGGAATATCTTCCTATAAAATCTAGACAGAAGCATTCTCAGAAACTGCTCTGTGATGTCTGCATTCAAGTCACAGAGTTGAACATTGCCTTTCATAGAGCAGGTTAGAAACGCTCTTTTTGTAGTATATGGAAGTGGATGTTTCGGACGGTTGGAGGCCCATGGTGATAAAGGGAATATCTTCCCCTACAAGCTAGAAAGAAGCATTCTGTGAAACTTCTTTGTGATGTGTGTACTCAACTAACAGAGTTGAACCTTTCTTTTTACAGAGCAGTTTTGAAACACTCTTTTTGTAGAATCTGCGAGGGGATATTTGAATAGATTTCAGGATTTCGTTGGAAACGGGAATATCTTCATAGAAAATCTCGACAGAAGCATTCTCAGAAACTTCTTTGTGATATGTGCATTCAAGTCACAGAGTTGAATATTCCCTTTCACAGAGTAGGTTTGAAACACTCTTTTTGTAGTATCTGGAAGTGGACATTTGGAGCGCCTTGACGCCTACGGTGAAAAGGAAAATATCTTCTCATAAAAAGTAGACAGAAGCAATCTCAGAATCTTCTTTGGAATATATGCATGCAGCTAACAGAGTTGAACATTTCTATTGACAGAGCAGTTTTGAAACAGTCTTTCTGTGGAATCTGCAAGTGGATATTTGGATAGCTTGGAGGATTTCGTTGGAAACGGGATTACGTATAAAAAGTAGACAGCAGCATCCTCAGAAACTTCCTTGTGATGCGTGCATTCAAGTCACAGAGTTGAATATTCCCTTTCGTACAGCAGTTTTGAAACACTCTTTCTGTAGTATCTGGAAGTGAACTTTAGGAGAGCTTTCAGGTCTATAGTGAGAAAGGAAATATCTTCAAATAAAAACTAGACAGAAGCATTCTGATAAACTTGTTTGTGAAGTGTGAACTCAGATAACAGAGTTGGATCTTTCTTTTGATAGAGCATTTCTGAAAAACACTTTTTGTTGAATCTGCAAGTGGACATTTGGATAGATTTGAAGATTTCGTTGGAAACGGGAATATCTTCATATCAAATCTAGACGGAAGCATTCTCAGAAACGTCTTTGTGATGTTTGCATTCAACTCATAGAGTTGAACATTCCGTTTCAGAGAGCAGCTTTGAAGCACTCTTTTTGTAGTATGTGCAAGAGGATATTTGGAGCGCTCTGAGGCCTACGGTGAAAAAGCAAATATCTTCCCATAACCAGTAGACAGAAACATTCTCAGAAACTCCTTTATGACGTGTGCACTCACCTAACAGAGAAGAACCTTCCTTTTGACAGAGCAGTTTTGATACACTCTTTTTGTAGAATCTGCAAGTGGATATTTGGATAGCTGTGAAGATTTCGTTGGAAACGGGAATATCTTCCTATAAAATGTAGACAGAAGCATTCTCAGAACCTGCTCTGTGATGTCTGCATTCAAGTCACAGAGTTGAACATTGCCTTTCCTAGAGCAGGTTTTAACGCTCTTTTTGTAGTATATGGAAGTGGACGTTTCGGACGGTTTGAGGCCCATGGTGATAAAGGGAATATCTTCCCCTACAAGCTAGAAAGAAGCATTCTGTGAAACTTGTTTGTGATGTGTGTACTCAACTAACAGAGTTGAACCTTTCTTTTTACAGAGCAGTTTTGAAACACTCTTTTTGTAGAATCTGCGAGGGGATATTTGGATAGATTTCAGGATTTCGTTCGAAACGGGAATATCTTCATATAAAATCTCGACAGAAGCATTCTCAGAAACTTCTTTGTGATATCTGCATTCAAGTCACAGAGTTGAATATTCCCTTTCACAGAGTAGGTTTGAAACACTCTTTCTGTAGTATCTGGAAGTGGACATTTGGAGCGCCTTGACGCCTATGGTGAAAAGGGAAATATCTTCCCATAAAAACTAGACAGAAGCAATCTCAGAATCTTCTTTGGGATATATGCACGCAGCTAACAGAGTTGAATCTTTCTATTGACAGAGCAGTTTTGAAACAGTCTTTCTGTGTAATCTGCAAGTGGATATTTGGTTAGATTGGAGGATTTCGTTGGAAACGGGATTACGTATAAATAGTAGACAGCAACATCCTCAGAAACTTCTTTGTGATGTGTGCATTCAAGTCACAGAGTTGAACATTCCCTTTCGTACAGCAGTTTTGAAACACTCTTTCTGTAGTATCTGGAAGTGAACATTAGGACAGCTTTCAGGTCTATGGTGAGAAAGGAAATATCTTCAAATAAAAACTAGACAGAAGCATTCTCATAAACTTGTTTGTGATGTCTGAACTCAGCTAACAGAGGTGGATCTTTCTTTTGATAGAGCAGTTCTGAAAAACACTTTTTGTTGAATCTGCAAGTGGACATTTGGATAGATTTGAAGATTTCGTTGGAAACGGGAATATCTTCATATCAAATACTAGACAGAAGCATTCTCAGAAACGTCTTTCTGATGTTTGCATTCAACTCATAGAGTTGAACATTCCGTTTCAGAGAGCAGCTTTGAAGCACTCTTTTTGTAGTATGTGCAAGAGGATATTTGGAGCGCTCTGAGGCCTACGGTGAAAAAGCAAATATCTTCCCATAACCACTAGACAGAAGCATTCTCAGAAACTTCTTTATGACGTATGTACTCAACTAGCAGAGAAGAACTTTCCTTTTGACAGAGCATTTTTGATACACTCTTTTTGTACTATCTGCAAGTGGATATTTGGATAGCTGTGAAGATTTCGTTGGAAACGGGAATATCTTCCTATAAAGTCTGGACAGAAGCATTCTCAGAAACTGCTCTGTGATGTCTGCATTCAAGTCACAGAGTTGAACATTGCCTTTCATAGAGCAGGTTTCAAACACTCTTTTTTTAGTATATGGAAGTGGACGTTTCGGACGGTTTGAGAACCATGGTGATAAAGGAAATATCTTCCCCTACAAGCTAGAAAGAAGCATTCTGTGAAACTTGTTTGTGATGTGTGTACTCAACTAACAGAATTGAACCTTTCTTTTTACAGAGCAGTTTTGAAACACTCTTTTTGTAGAATCTGCGAGGGGATATTTGGATAGATTTCAGGATTTCGTTGGAAACGGGAATATCTTCATATAAAATCTCGACAGAAGCATTCTCAGAAACTTCTTTGTGATATGTGCATTCAAGTCACAGAGTTGAATATTCCCTTTCACAGAGTAGGTTTGAAACACTCTTTTTGTAGTATCTGGAAGTGGACATTTGGAGCGCCTTGACACCTACGGTGTAAAGGGAAATATCTTCCCATAAAAACTAGACAGAAGCAATCTCAGAATCTTCTTTGGGATATATGTACGCAGCTAATAGAGTTGAACCTTTCTATTGACAGAGCAGTTTTGAAACAGTCTTTCTGTGGAATCTGCAAGTGGATATTTGGATAGCTTGGAGGATTTCGTTGGAAACGGGATTACGTATAAAAAGTAGACGGCAGCATCCTCAGAAACTTCTTTGTGATGTGTGCATTCAAGTCACAGAGTTGAACATTCCCTTTCGTACAGCAGTTTTGAAACACTCTTTCTGTAGTATCTGGAAGTGAACATTAGGACAGTTTTCAGGTCTATGGTGAGAAAGGAAATATCTTCAAATAAAAACTAGACAGAAGCATTCTCATAAAATTGTTTGTGATATGTGAACTCAGCTAACAGACGTGGATCTTTCTTTTGATACAGCAGTTTTGAAAAACACTTTTTGTTGAATCTGCAAGTGGACATTTGGATAGATTTGAAGATTTCGTTGGAAACGGGAATATCTTCATATCAAATCTAGATAGAAGCATTCTCAGAAACGTCTTTGTGATGTTTGCATTCAACTCATAGAGTTGAACATTCCGTTTCAGAGAGCAGCTTTGAGGCACTCTTTTTGTAGTATGTGCAAGTGGATATTTGGAGCGCTCTGAGGCCTACGGTGAAAAAGCAAATATCTTCCCATAACAACTAGACAGAAACATTCTCAGAAACTCCTTTATGACGTATGCACTCACCTAACAGAGAAGAACCTTCCTTTTGACAGAGCAGTTTTGATACACTCTTTTTGTAGAATCTGCAAGTGGATATTTGGATAGCTGTGAAGATTTCGCTGGAAACGGGAATATCTTCCTATAAAATCTAGACAGAAGCATTCTCAGAAACTGCTCTGTGATGTCTGCATTCAAGTCACAGAGTTGAACATTGCCTTTGATAGAGCAGGTTTGAAACGCTCTTTTTGTAGTATATGGAAGTGGACGTTTCGGACGGTTTGAGGCCCATGGTGATAAAGGGAATATCTTCCCCTACAAGCTAGAAAGAAGAATTCTGTGAAACTTGTTTGTGATGTGTGTACTCAACTAACAGAGTTGAACCTTTCTTTTTACAGAGCAGTTTTGAAACACTCTTTTTGTAGAATCTGCGAGGGGATATTTGGATAGATTTCAGGATTTCGTTGGAAAGGGGAATATCTTCATATAAAATCTCGACAGAAGCATTCTCAGAAACTTCTTTGTGATATCTGCCTTTAAGTCACAGAGTTGAATATTCCCTTTCACAGAGTAGGTTTGAAACACTCTTTTTGTAGTATCTGGAAGTGGACATTTGGAGCGCCTTGACACCTACGGTGAAAAGGGTAATATCTTCCCATAAAAACTAGACAGAAGCAATCTCAGAATCCTCTTTGGGATATATGCACGCAGCTAACAGAGTTGAACCTTTCTATTGACAGAGCAGTTTTGAAACAGTCTTTCTGTGGTATCTGCAAGTGGATATTTGGATAGCTTGGAGGATTTTGTTGGAAACGGGATTACGTATAAAAAGTAGACAGCAGCATCCTCAGAAACTTCTTTGTGATGTGTACATTGGAGTCACAGAGTTGAACATTCCCTTTCGTACAGCAGTTTTGAAACACTCTTTCTGTAGTATCTGGAAGTGAACATTAGGACAGCTTTCAGGTCTATGGTGAGAAAGGAAATATCCTCAAGTAAAAACTAGACAGAAGCATTCTCATAAACTTGTTTGTGATGTGTGAACTCAGCTAACAGAGGTGGATCTTTCTTTTGATAGAGCAGTTCTGAAAAACACTTTTTGTTGAATCTGGAAGTGGATATTTGGATAGATTTGAAGATTTCGTTGGAAACGGGAATATCTTCATATCAAATCTAGACAGAAGCATTCTCAGAAACGTCTTTGTGATGTTTGCATTCAACTCATAGAGTTGAGCATTCACTTTCAGAGAGCAGCTTTGAAGCACTCTTTTTGTAGTATGTGCAAGTGGATATTTGGAGCGCTGTGAGGCCTACGGTGAAAAAGCAAATATCTTCCCATAACCACTAGACAGAAACATTCTCAGAAACTCCTTTATGACGTATGTACTCAACTAAGAGAGAAGAACCTTCCTTTTCACAGAGCAGTTTTGATACACTCTTTTTGTAGAATCTGCAAGTGGATATTTGGATAGCTGTGAAGATTTCGTTGGAAACGGGAATATCTTCCTATAAAATCTAGACAGAAGCATTCTCAGAAACTACTCTGTGATGTCTGCATTCAAGTCACAGAGTTGAACATTGCCTTTCCTAGAGCAGGTTTGAAACGCTCTTTTTGTAGTATATGGAAGTGGACGTTTCGGATGGTTTGAGGCCCATGGTGATAAAGGGAATATCTTCCCCTACAAGCTAGAAAGAAGCATTCTGTGAAACTTGTTTGTGATGTGTGTACTCAACTAACAGAGTTGAACCTTACTTTTTACAGAGCAGTTTTGAAACACTCTTTTTGTAGAATCTGCGAGGGGATATTTGGATAGATTTCAGGATTTCGTTCGAAACGGGAATATCTTCATATAAAATCTCGACAGAAGCATTCTCAGAAACTTCTTTGTGATATGTGCATTCAAGTCACAGAGTTGAATATTCCCTTTCACAGAGTAGGTTTGAAACACTCTTTTTGTAGTATTTGGAAGTGGACATTTGGAGCGCCTTGACGCCTACGGTGAAAAGGGAAATATCTTCCATAAAAACTAGACAGAAAGCAATCTCAGAATCTTCTTTGGGATATATGCATGCAGCTAACAGAGTTGAACCTTTCTATTGACAGAGCAGTTTTGAAACAGTCTTTCTGTGGAATCTGCAAGTGGATATTTGGATAGCTTGGAGGATTTCGTTGGAAACGGGATTACGTATAAAAAGTAGACAGAGCATTCTCAGAAACTGCTCTGTGATGTCTGCATTCAAGTCACAGAGTTGAACATTCCCTTTCGTACAGCAGTTTTGAAACACTCTTTCTGTAGTATCTGGAAGTGAACTTTAGGAGAGCTTTCAGGTCTATAGTGAGAAAGGATATATCTTCAAATAAAAACTAGACAGAAGCATTCTGATAAACTTGTTTGTGAAGTGTGATCTCAGCTAACAGAGGTGGATCTTTCTTTTGATAGAGCAGTTCTGAAAAACACTTTGTTGAATCTGCAAGTGGACATTTGGATAGATTTGAAGATTTCGTTGGAAACGGGAATATCGTCATAAATCTAGACAGAAACATTCTCAGAAACGTCTTTGTGATGTTTGCATTCAACTCATAGAGTTGAACATTCCCTTTCAGAGAGCAGCTTTGAAGCACTCTTTTTGTAGCATGTGCAAGTGGACATTTGGAGCGCCCTGAGGCCTACGGGGAAAAAGCAAATATCTTCCCATAACCACTAGACAGAAACATTCTCAGAAACTCCTTTATGACGTATGCACTCACCTAACAGAGAAGAACCTTCCTTTTGACTGAGCAGTTTGATACACTCTTTTTGTAGAATCTGCAAGTGGATATTTGGATAGCTGTGAAGATTTCGTTGGAAACGGGAATATCTTCCTATAAAATCTAGACAGAAGCATTCTCAGAAACTACTCTGTGATGTCTGCATTCAAGTCACAGAGTTGAACATTGCCTTTCATAGAGCAGGTTTGAAACGCTCTTTTTGTAGTATATGGAAGTGGATGTTTCGGACGGTTGGAGGCCCATGGTGATGAAGGGAATATCTTCCCCTACAAGCTAGAAAGAGCATTCTGTGAAACTTGTTTGTGATGTGTGTACTCAACTAACAGAGTTGAACCTTTCTTTTTACAGAGCAGTTTTGAAACACTCTTTTTGTAGAATCTGCGAGGGGATATTTGGATAGATTTCAGGATTTCGTTGGAAACGGGAATATCTTCATATAAAATCTCGACAGAAGCATTCTCAGAAACTTCTTTGTGATATCTGCATTCAAGTCACAGAGTTGAATATTCCCTTTCACAGAGTAGGTTTGAAACACTCTTTTTGTAGTATCTGGAAGTGGACATTTGGAGCGCCTTGACGCCTACAGTGAAAAGGGAAATATCTTCCCATAAAAACTAGACAGAAGCAATCTCAGAATCTTCTTTGGGATATATGCACGCAGCTAACAGAGTTGAACCTTTCTATTGACAGAGCAGTTTTGAAACAGTCTTTCTGTGGAATCTGCAAGTGGATATTTGGATAGCTTTGAGGATTTCGTTGGAAACGGGATTACGTATCAAAAGTAGACAGCAGCATCCTCAGAAAACTTCTTTGTGATGTGTGCATTCAAGTCACAGAGTTGAACATTCCCTTTCGTACAGCAGTTTTGAAACACTCTTTCTGTAGTATCTGGAAGTGAACATTAGGACAGCTTTCAGCTCTATGGTGAGAAAGGAAATATCTTCAAATAAAAACTAGACAGAAGCATTCTCATAAACTTGTTTCTGATGTGTGAACTCAGCTAACAGAGGTGGATCTTTCTTTTGATAGAGCAGTTCTGAAAAACACTTTTTGTTGAATCTGCAAGTGGACATTTGGATAGATTTGAAGATTTTCTTTGGAAACGGGAATATCTTCATATCAAATCTAGACAGAAGCATTCTCAGAAACGTCTTTGTGATGTTTGCATTCAACTCATAGAGTTGAACATTCCGTTTCAGAGACCAGCTTTGAAGCACTCTTTTTGTAGTATGTGCAAGTGGATATTTGGAGCGCTCTGAGGCCTACGGTGAAAAAGCAAATATCTTCCCATAACGACTAGACAGAAACATTCTCAGAAACTGCTTTATGACGTATGCACTCACCTAACAGAGAAGAACCTTCCTTTTGACAGAGCAGTTTTGATACACTCCTTTTGTAGAATCTGCAAGTGGATATTTGGATAGCTGTGAAGATTTCGTTGGAAACGGGAATATCTTCCTATAAAATCTAGACAGAAGCATTCTCAGAAACAGCTCTGTGATGTCTGCATTCAAGTCACAGAGTTGAACATTGCCTTTCATAGAGCAGGTTTGAAACGCTCTTTTTGTAGTGTATGGAAGTGGACGTTTCGGACGGTTTGAGACCCATGGTGATAAAGGGAATATATTCCCCTACAAGCTAGAAAGAAGCATTCTGTGAAACTTGTTTGTGATGTGTGTACTCAACTAACAGAGTTGAACCTTTCTTTTTACAGAGCAGTTTTGAAACACTCTTTTTGTAGAATCTGCGAGGGGATATTTCGATAGATTTCAGGATTTCGTTGGAAACGGGAATATCTTCATATAAAATCTCGACAGAAGCATTCTCAGAAACTTCTTTGTGATATGTGCATTCAAGTCACAGAGTTGAATATTCCCTTTCACAGAGTAGGTTTGAAACACTCTTTTTGTAGTATCTGGAAGTGGACATTTGGAGCGCCTTGACACCTACGGTGAAAAGGGAAATATCTTCCCATAAAAACTAGAGAGAAGCAATCTCAGAATCGTCTTTGGGATATATGCACGCAGCTAACAGAGTTGAACCTTTCTATTGAGAGAGCACTTTTGAAACAGTCTTTCTGTGGAATCTGCAAGTGGATATTTGGATAGCTTGGAGGATTTCGTTGGAAACGGGATTACGTATAAAAAGTAGACAGCAGCATCCTCAGAAACTTCTTTGTGATGTGTGCATTCAAGTCACAGAGTTGAACATTCCCTTTCGTACTGCAGTTTTGAAACACTCTTTCTGTAGTATCTGGAAGTGAACATTAGGACAGCTTTCAGGTCTATGGTGAGAAAGGAAATATCTTCAAATAAAAACTAGACAGAAGCATTCTCATCAACTTGTTTGTGATGTGTGAACTCAGCTAACAGAGGTGGATCTTTCTTTTGATAGAGCAGTTCTGAAAAACACTTTTTGTTGAATCTGCAAGTGGACATTTGGATAGATTTGAAGATTTCGTTGGAAACGGGAATATCTTCATATCAAATCTAGACAGAAGCATTCTCAGAAACGTCTTTGTGATGTTTGCATTCAACCCATAGAGTTGAACATTCCGTTTCAGAGAGCAGCTTTGAAGCACTCTTTTTGTAGTATGTGCAAGTGGATATTTGGAGCGCTCTGAGGCCTAAGGTGAAAAAGCAAATATCTTCCCATAACCACTAGACAGAAACATTCTCAGAAACTCCTTTATGACGTATGTACTCAACTAACAGAGAAGAACCTTCCTTTTGACAGAGCAGTTTTGATACACTCTTTTTGTAGAATCTGCAAGTGGATATTTGGATAGCTGTGAAGATTTCGTTGGAAACGGGAATATCTTCCTATAAAATCCAGACAGAAGCATTCTCAGAAACTGCTCTGTGATGTCTGCATTCAAGTCACAGAGTTGAACATTGCCTTTCATAGAGTAGGTTTGAAACGCTCTTTTTGTAGTATATGGAAGTAGACTTTTTGGACGGTTTGAGGCCCATGGTGATAAAGGGAATATCTTCCCCTACAAGCTAGAAAGAAGCATTCTGTGAAACTTGTTTGTGATGTGTGTACTCAACTAACAGAGTTGAACCATTCTTTTTACAGAGCAGTTTTGAAACACTCTTTTTGTAGAATCTGCGAGGGGATATTTGGATAGATTTCAGGATTTTGTTGGAAACGGGAATATCTTCATATAAAATCTCGACAGAAGCATTCTCAGAAACTTCTTTGTGATATGTGCATTCAAGTCACAGAGTTGAATATTCCCTTCCACAGAGTAGGTTTGAAACACTCTTTTTGTAGTATCTGGAAGTGGACATTTGGAGCGCCTTGACGCCTACGGTGAAAAGGGAAATATCTTCCCATAAAAACTAGACAGAAGCAATCTCAGAATCTTCTTTGGGATATATGCATGCAGCTAACAGAGTTGAACCTTTCTATTGACAGAGCAGTTTTGAAACAGTCTTTCTGTGGAATCTGCAAGTGGATATTTGGATAGCTTGGAGGATTTCGTTGGAAACGGGTTTACGTATAAAAAGTAGACAGCAGCATCCTCAGAAACTTCCTTGTGATGTGTGCATTCAAGTCACAGAGTTGCACATTCCCTTTCGTACAGCAGTTTTGAAACACTCTTTCTGTAGTATCTGGAAGTGAACATTAGGACAGCTTTCAGGTCTATGGTGAGAAAGGAAATATCTTCAAATAAAAACTAGACAGAAGCATTCTCATAAACTTGTTTGTGATGTGTGAACTCAGCTAACAGAGGCGGATCTTTCTGTTGATAGAGCAGTTCGGAAAAACACTTTTTGTTGAATCTGCAAGTGGACATTTGGATAGATTTGAAGATTTCGTTGGAAACGGGAATATCTTCACATCAAATCTAGACAGAAGCATTCTCAGAAACGTCTTTGTGATGTTTGCATTCAACTCATAGAGTTGAACATTCCGTTTCAGAGAGCAGCTTTGAAGCACTCTTTTTGTAGTATGTGCAAGTGGATATTTGGAGCGCTCTGAGGTCTACGGTGAAAAAGCAAATATCTTCCCATAACCACTAGACAGAAACATTCTCAGAAACTCCTTTATGACGTATGTACTCAACTAACAGAGAAGAACCTTCCTTTTGACAGAGCAGTTTTGATACACTCTTTTTGTAGAATCTGCAAGTGGATATTGGGATAGCTGTGAAGATTTCGTTGGAAACGGTAATATCTTCCTATAAAATCTAGACAGAAGCATTCTCAGAAACTGCTCTGTGATGTCTGCATTCAAGTCACAGAGTTGAACATTGCCTTTCATGGAGCAGGTTTGAAACGCTCTTTTTGTAGTATATGGAAATGGACGTTTCGGACGGTTTGAGGCCCATGGTGATAAAGGGAATATCTTCCCCTACAAGCTAGAAAGAAGCATTCTGTGAAACTTGTTTGTGATGTGTGTACTCAACTAACAGAGTTGAACCTTTCTTTTTACAGAGCAGTTTTGAAACACTCTTTTTGTAGAATCTGCGAGGGGATATTTGGATAGATTTCAGGATTTCGTTGGAAACGGGAATATCTTCACATAAAATCTCGACAGAAGCATTCTCAGAAACTTCTTTGTGATATGTGCATTCAAGTCACAGAGTTGAATATTCCCTTTCATAGAGTAGGTTTGAAACACTCTTTTTGTAGTATCTGGAAGTGGACATTTTGAGCGCCTTGACGCCTACGGTGAAAAGGGAAATATCTTCCCATAAAAACTAGACAGAAGCAATCTCAGCAATCTTCTTTGGGATATATGCACGCAGCTAACAGAGTTGAACCTTTCTATTGACAGAGCAGTTTTGAAACAGTCTTTCTGTGGAATCTGCAAGTGGATATTTGGATAGCTTGGAGGATTTCGTTGGAAACGGGATTACGTATAAAAAGTAGACAGCAGCATCCTCAGAAACTTCTTTGTGATGTGTGCATTCAAGTCACAGAGTTGAACATTCCCTTTCGTACAGCAGTTTTGAAACACTCTTTCTGTAGTATCTGCAAGTGAACATTAGGACAGTTTTCAGGTCTATGGTGAGAAAGGAAATATCTTCAAATAAAAACTAGACAGAAGCATTCTCATAAACTTGTTTGTGATGTGTGAACTCAGCTAACAGAGGTGGATCTTTCTTTTGATAGAGCAGTTCTGAAAAACACGTTTTGTTGAATCTGCAAGTGGACATTTGGATAGATTTGAAGATGTCGTTGGAAACGGGAATATCTTCATATCAAATCTAGACAGAAGCATTCTCAGAAACGTCTTTGTGATGTTTGCATTCAACTCATAGAGTTGAACATTCCGTTTCAGAGAGCAGCTTTGAAGCACTCTTTTTGTAGTATGTGCAAGTGGATATTTGGAGCGCTCTGAGGCCTACGGTGAAAAAGCAAATATCTTGCCCATAACCACTAGACAGAAACATTCTCAAAAACTCCTTTATGACGTATGCACTCACCTAACAGAAAAGAACCTTCCTTTTGACAGAGCAGTTTTGATACACTCTTTTTGTAGAATCTGCAAGTGGATATTTGGATAGCTGTGAAGATTTCGTTGGAAACGGGAATATCTTCCTATAAAATCTAGACAGAAGCATTCTCAGAAACTGCTCTGTGATGTCTGCATTCAAGTCACAGAGTTGAACATTGCCTTTCATGGAGCAGATTTGAAACGCTCTTTTTGTAGTATATGGAAGTAGACGTTTCGGACGGTTTCAGGCCCATGGTGATAAAGGGAATATCTTCCCCTACAAGCTAGAAAGAAGCATTACTGTGAAACTTGTTTGTGATGTGTGTACTCAACTAACAGAGTTGAACCTTTCTTTTTACAGAGCAGTTTTGAAACACTCTTTTTGTAGAATCTGCGAGGGGATATTTGGATACATTTCAGCATTTCGTTGGAAACGGGAATATCTTCATATAAAATCTCGACAGAAGCATTCTCAGAAACTTCCTTGTGATATGTGCATTCAGGTCACAGAGTTGAATATTCCCTTTCACAGAGTAGGTTTGAAACACTCTTTTTGTAGTATCTGGAAGTGGACATTTGGAGCGCCTTGACACCTACGGTGAAAAGGGAAATATCTTCCAATAAAAACTAGACAGAAAGGAATCTCAGAATCTTCTTTGGGATATATGCACGCAGCTAACAGATTTGAACCTTTCTATTGACAGAGCAGTTTTGAAACAGTCTTTCTGTGGAATCTGCAAGTGGATATTTGGATAGCTTGGAGGATTTCGTTGGAAACGGGATTACGTATAAAAAGTAGACAGCAGCATCCTCAGAAACATCCTTGTGATGTGTGCATTCAAGTCACAGAGTTGAACATTCCCTTTCGTACAGCAGTTTTGAAACACTCTTTCTTTGTATCTGGAAGTGAACTTTAGGACAGCTTTCAGGTCTATAGTGAGAAAGGATATATCTTCAAATAAAAACTAGACAGAAACATTTTCATAAACTTGTTTGTGATGTGTGAACTCAGCTAACAGAGGTGGATCTTTCTTTTGATAGAGCACTTCTGAAAAACACTTTTTGTTGAATCTGCAAGTGGACATTTGGATAGATTTGAAGATTTCGTTGGAAACGGGAATATCTTCATATCAAATCTAGACAGAAGCATTCTCAGAAACGTCTTTGCGATGTTTGCATTCAACTCATAGAGTTGAACATTCCGTTTCAGAGAGCAGCTTTGAAGCACTCTTTTTGTAGCATGTGCAAGTGGACATTTGGAGCGCCCTGAGGCCTACGGGGAAAAAGCAAATATCTTCCCATAACCACTAGACAGAAACATTCTCAGAAAGTTCTTTATGACGTATGTACTCAACTAGCAGAGAAGAACTTTCCTTTTGACAGAGCATTTCTGATACACTCTTTTTGTACTATCTGCAAGTGGATATTTGGATAGCTGTGAAGATTTCGTTGGAAACGGGAATATCTTCCTATAAAGTCTGGACAGAAGCATTCTCAGAAACTGCTCTGTGATGTCTGCATTCAAGTCACAGAGTTGAACATTGCCTTTCATAGAGCAGGTTTGAAACGCTCTTTTTGTAGTATATGGAAGTGGATGTTTCGGACGGTTGGAGGCCCATGGTGATAAAGGGAATATCTTCCCTACAAGCTAGAAAGAAGCATTCTGTGAAACTTGTTTGTGATGTGTGTAGTCAAGTAACAGAGTTGAACCTTTCTTTTTACAGAGCAGTTTTGAAACACTCTTTTTGTAGAATCTGCGAGGGGATATTTGGATAGATTTCAGGATTTCGTTGGAAACGGGAATATCTTCATATAAAATCTCGACAGAAGCATTCTCAGAAACTTCTTTGTGATATGTGCATTCAAGTCACAGAGTTGAATATTCCCTTTCACAGAGTAGGTTGGAAACACTCTTTTTGTAGTATCTGGAAGTGGACATTTGGAGCGCCTTGACACCTACGGTGAAAAGGGAAATATCTTCCCATTAAAAACTAGACAGAAGCAATCTCAGAATCTTCTTTGGGATATATGCACGCAGCTAACAGAGTTGTACCTTTCTATTGACAGAGCACTTTTGAAACAGTCTTTCTGTGGAATCTGCAAGTGGATATTTGGATAGCTTGGAGGATTTCGTTGGAAACGGGATTACATATAAAAAGTAGACAGCAGCATCCTCAGGTAACTTCTTTGTGATGTGTGCATTCAAGTCACAGTGTTGAACATTCCCTTCCGTACAGCAGTTTTGAAACACTCTTTCTGTAGTATCTGGAAGTGAACATTAGGACAGCTTTCAGGTTTATGGTGAGAAAGGAAATATCTTCAAATAAAAACTAGACAGAAGCATTCTCATAAACTTGTTTGTGATGTGTGAACTCAGCTAACACACGTGGATCTTTCTTTTGATAGAGCAGTTCTGAAAAACACTTTTGTTGAATCTGCAAGTGGACATTTGGATAGATTTGAAGATTTCGTTGGAAACGGGAATATCTTCATATCAAATCTAGACAGAAAGCATTCTCGGAAACGTCTTTGTCATGTTTGCATTCAACTCATAGAGTTGAACATTCCGTTTCAGAGAGCAGCTTTGAAGCACTCTTTTTGTAGTATGTGCAAGGGGATATTTGGAGCGCTCTGAGGCCTAAGGTGAAAAAGCAAATATCTTCCCATAACCACTAAACAGGAAACATTCTCCGAAACTTCTTTATGACGTATGTACTCAACTAGCAGAGAAGAACTTTCCTTTTGACAGAGCATTTTCGATACACTCTTTTTGTACTATCTGCAAGTGGATATTTGGATAGCTGTGAAGATTTCGTTGGAAACGGGAATATCTTCCTATAAAGTCTGGACAGAAGCATACTCAGAAACTGCTCTGCGATGTCTGCATTCAAGTCACAGAGTTGAACATTGCCTTTCCTAGAGCAGGTTTGAAATGCTCTTTTTGTAGTATATGGAAGTGGACGTTTCGGACGGTTTGAGGCCCATGGTGATAAAGGGAATATCTTCCCCTACAAGCCAGAAAGAAGGATTCTGTGAAACTTGTTTGTGATGTGTGTACTCAACTAACAGAGTTGAACCTTTCTTTTTACAGAGCAGTTTTGAAACACTCTTTTTGTAGAATCTGCGAGGGGATATTTGGATAGATTTCAGGATTTCGTTGGAAACGGGAATATCTTCATATAAAATCTCGACAGAAGCATTCTCAGAAACTACTTTGTGATATGTGCATTCAAGTCACAGAGTTGAATATTCCCTTTCACAGAGTAGGTTTGAAACACTCTTTTTGTAGTATCTGGAAGTGGACATTTGGAGCGCCTCGACGCCTACGGTGAAAAGGGAAATATCTTCCCATAAAAACTAGACAGAAGCAATCTCAGAATCTTCTTTGGCATATATGCACGCAGCTAACAGAGTTGAACCTTTCTATTGACAGAGCAGTTTTGAAACAGTCTTTCTGTGGAATCTGCAAGTGGATATTTGGATAGCTTGGAGGATTTCGTTGGAAACGGGATTACGTATAAAAAGTAGACAGCAGCATCCTCAGAAACATCCTTGTGATGTGTGCATTCAAGTCACAGAGTTGAACATTCCCTTTCGTACAGCAGTTTTGAAACACTCTTTCTGTAGTATCTGGAAGTGAACTTTAGGAAAGCTTTCAGGTCTATAGTGAGAAAGGATATATCTTCAAATAAAAACTAGACAGAAGAATACTGATAAACTTGTTTGTGAAGTGTGAACTCAGCTAACAGTGGTGGATCTTTCTTTTGATAGAGCAGTTTTGAAAAACACTTTGTTGAATCTGCAAGTGGACATTTGGATAGATTTGAAGATTTCGTTGGAAACGGGAATATCTTCATATCAAATCTAGACAGAAGCATTCTCAGAAACGTCTTTGTGATGGTTGCATTCAACTCATAGAGTTGAACATTCCGTTTCAGAGAGCAGCTTTGAAGCACTCTTTTTGTAGTATGTTCAAGTGGATATTTGGAGCGCTCTGAGGCCTACGGTGAAAAAGCAAATATCTTCCCATAACCACTAGACAGAAACATTCTCAGAAACTCCTTTATGACGTATGCACTCACCTAACAGAGAAGAACCTTCCTTTTGACAGAGCAGTTTTGATACACTCTTTTTGTAGAATCTGCAAGTGGATATTTGGATAGCTGTGAAGATTTCGTTGGAAACGGGAATATCTTCCTATAAAAACTAGACAGAAGCATTCTCAGAAACTGCTCTGTGATGTCTGCATTCAAGTCACAGAGCTGAACATTGCCTTTCATAGAGCAGGTTTGAAACGCTCTTTTTGTAGTATATGGAAGTGGACGTTTCGGACGGTTTGAGGCCCATGGTGATAAAGGGAATATCTTCCCCTACAAGCTAGAAAGAAGCATTCTGTGAAACTTGTTTGTGATGTGTGTACTCAAGTAACAGAGTTGAACCTTTCTTTTTACAGAGCAGTTTTGAAACACTCTTTTTGTAGAATCTGCGAGGGGATATTTGGATAGATTTCAGGATTTCGTTGGAAACGGGAATATCTTCATATAAAATCTCAACAGAAGCATTCTCAGAAACTTCTTTGTGATATCTGCATTCAAGTCACAGAGTTGAATATTCCCTTTCACAGAGTAGGTTTGAAACACTCTTTTTATAGTATCTGGAATTGGACATTTGGAGCGCCTTGACGCCTACGGTGAAAAGGGAAATATCTTCCCATAAAAACTAGACAGAAGCAATCTCAGAATCTTCTTTGGGATATATGCACGCAGCTAACAGAGTTTAACCTTTCTATTGACAGAGCAGTTTTGAAACAGTCTTTCTGTGGAATCTGCAAGTGGATATTTGGATAGCTTGGAGGATTTCGTTGGAAACGGGATTACGTATAAAAAGTAGACAGCAGCATCCTCAGAAACTTCTTTGTGATGTGTGCATTCAAGTCACAGAGTTGAACATTCCCTTTCGTGCAGCAGTTTTGAAACACTCTTTCTGTAGTATCTGGAAGTGAACATTAGGACAGCTTTCAGGTCTATGGTGAGAAAGGAAATATCTTCAAATAAAAACTAGACAGGAGCATTCTCATAAACTTGTTTGTGATGTGTGAACTCAGCTAACAGAGGTGGATCTTTCTTTTGATAGAGCAGTTCGGAAAAACACTTTTTGTTGAATCTGCAAGTGGACATTTGGATAGATTTGAAGATTTCGTTGGAAACGGGAATATCTTCATATCAAATCTAGACAGAAACATTCTCAGAAACGTCTTTGTGATGTTTGCCTTCAACTCATAGAGTTGAACATTCCCTTTCAGAGAGCAGCTTTGAAGCACTCTTTTTGTAGCATGTGCAAGTGGACATTTGGAGCGCCCTGAGGCCTACGGGGAAAAAGCAAATATCTTCCCATAACCACTAGACAGAAACATTCTCAGAAACTGCTTTATGACGTATGCACTCACCTAACAGAGAAGAACCTTCCTTTTGACAGAACAGTTTTGATACACGCTTTTTGTAGAATCTGCAAGTGGATATTTGGATAGCTGCGAAGATTTCGTTGGAATCGGGAATATCTTCCTATAAAATCTAGACAGAAAGCATTCTCAGAAACTGCTCTGTGATGTCTGCATTCAAGTCACAGAGTTGAACATTGCCTTTCATAGAGCAGGTTTGAAACGCTCTTTTTGTAGTATATGGAAGTAGACGTTTCGGACGGTTTCAGGCCCATGGTGATAAAGGGAATATCTTCCCCTACAAGCTAGAAAGAAGCATTCTGTGAAACTTGTTTGTGATGTGTGTACTCAACTAACAGAGTTGAACCTTTCCTTTTACAGAGCAGTTTTGAAACACTCTTTTTGTAGAATCTGCGAGGGGATATTTGGATAGATTTCAGGATTTCGTTGGAAACGGGAATAACTTCATATAAAATCTCGACAGAAGCATTCTCAGAAACTTCTTTGTGATATGTGCATTCAAGTCACAGAGTTGAATATTCCCTTTCACAGAGTAGGTTTGAAACACTCTTTTTGTAGTATCTGGAAGTGGACATTTGGAGCGCCTTGATGCCTACGGTGAAAAGGAAAATATCTTCTCATAAAAAGTAGACAGAAGCAATCTCAGAATCTTCTTTCGGATATATGCACGCAGCTAACAGAGTTGAACCTTTCTATTGACAGAGCAGTTTTGAAACAGTCTTTCTGTGGAATCTGCAAGTGGATATTTGGATAGCTTGGAGGATTTCGTTGGAAACGGGATTACGTATAAAAATTAGACAGCAGCATCCTCAGAAACATCCTTGTGATGTGTGCATTCAAGTCACAGAGTTGAACATTACCTTTCGTACAGCAGTTTTGAAACACTCTTTCTGTAGTATCTGGAAGTGAACTTTAGGAGAGCTTTCAGGTCTATAGTGAGAAAGGATATATCTTCAAATAAAAACTAGACAGAAGCATTCTCATAAACTTGTTTGTGATGTGTGAACTCAGCTAACAGAGGTGGATCTTTCTTTTGATAGAGCAGTTCTGAAAAACACTTTTTGTTGAATCTGCAAGTGGACATTTGGATAGATTTGAAGATTTCGTTGGAAACGGGAATATCTTCATATCAAATCAAGACAGAAGCATTCTCAGAAACGTCTTTGTGATGTTTGCATTCAACTCATAGAGTTGAACATTCCCTTTCAGAGAGCAGCTTTGAAGCACTCTTTTTGTAGTATGTGCAAGTTGACATTTGGAGCGCTTTGAGGCCTAAGGGGAAAAAGCAAATATCTTCCCATAACCACTAGACAGAAACATTCTCAGAAACTCCTTTATGACGTATGCACTCACCTAACAGAGAAGAACCTTCCTTTTGACAGAGCAGTTTTGATACACTCTTTTTGTAGAATCTGCAAGTGGATATTTGGATAGATGTGAAGGTTTCGTTGGAAACGGAAATATCTTCCTATAAAATCTAGACAGAAGCATTCTCAGAAACTGCTCTGTGATGTCTGCATTCAAGTCACAGAGTTGAACATTGCCTTTCATAGAGCAGGTTTGAAACGCTCTTTTTGTAGTATATGGAAGTAAACGTTTCGGACGGTTTGAGGCCCATGGTGATAAAGGGAATATCTTCCCCTACAAGCTAGAAAGAAGCATTCTGTGAAACTTGTTTGTGATGTGTGTACTCAATTAACAGAGTTGAACCTTTCTTTTTACAGAGCAGTTTTGAAACACTCTTTTTGTAGAATCTGCGAGGGGATATTTGGATAGATTTCAGGATTTTGTTGGAAACGGGAATATCTTCATATAAAATCTCGACAGAAGCATTCTCAGAAACTTCTTTGTGATATCTGCATTCAAGTCACAGAGGTGAATATTCCCTTTCACAGAGTAGGTTTGAAACACTCTTTTTGTAGTATCTGGAAGTGGACATTTGGAGCGCCTTGACGCCTATGGTTAAAAGGGAAATATCTTCCCATAAAAACTAGACAGAAGCAATCTCAGAATTTTCTTTGGGATATATGCACACAGCTAACAGAGTTGAACTTTTCTATTGACATAGCAGTTTTGAAACAGTCTTTCTGTGGAATCTGCAAGTGGATATTTGGATAGCTTGGAGGATTTCGTTGGAAACGGGATTACGTATAAAAAGTAGACAGCAGCATCCTCAGAAGCTTCTTTGTGATGTGTGCATTCAAGTCACAGAGTTGAATATTCCCTTTCGTACAGCAGTTTTGAAACACTCTTTCTGTAGTATCTGGAAGTGAACATTAGGACAGCTTTCAGGTCTATGGTGAGAAAGGAAATATCTTCAAATAAAAACTAGACAGAAGCATTCTCATAAACTTGTTTGTGATGTCTGAACTCAGCTAACAGAGGTGCATCTTTCTTTTGATAGAGCAGTTCTGAAAAACACTTTTTGTTGAATCTGCAAGTGGACATTTGGATAGATTTGAAGATTTCGTTGGAAACGGGAATATCTTCATATCAAATCTAGACAGAGGCATTCTCAGAAACGTCTTTGTGATGTTTGCATTCAACTCATAGAGTTGAACATTCCCTTTCAGAGAGCAGCTTTGAAGCACTCTTTTTGTAGTATGTGCAAGGGGATATTTGGAGCGCTCCTGAGGCCTAAGGTGAAAAAGCAAATATCTTCCCATAACCACTAGACAGAAACATTCTCAGAAACTCCTTTATGACGTATGCACTCACCTAACAGAGAAGAACCTTCCTTTTGACAGAGCAGTTTTGATACACTCTTTTTGTAGAATCTGCAAGTGGATATTTGGATACCTGTGAAGATTTCGCTGGAAACGGGAATATCTTCCTATAAAATCTAGACAGAAGCATTCTCAGAAACTGCTCTGTGATGTCTGCATTCAAGTCACAGAGTTGAACATTGCCTTTCATAGAGCAGGTTTGAAACGCTCTTTTTGTAGTATATGGAAGTGGACGTTTCGGACGGTTTGAGGCCCGTGGTGATAAAGGGAATATCTTCCCCTACAAGCTAGAAAGAAGCATTCTGTGAAACTTGTTTGTGATGTGTGTACTCAACTAACAGAGTTGAACCTTTCTTTTTACAGAGCAGTTTTGAAACCCTCTTTTTCTAGAATCTGCGAGGGGATATTTGGATAGATTTCAGGATTTCGTTGGAAACGGGAATATCTTCATATAAAATCTCGACAGAAGCATTCTCAGAAACTTCTTTGTGATATGTGCATTCAAGTCACAGAGTTGAATATTCCCTTTCACAGAGTAGGTTTGAAACATTCTTTTTGTAGTATCTGGAAGTGGACATTTGGAGCGCCTTGACGCCTACGGTGAAAAGGGAAATATCTTCCCATAAAAACTAGACAGAAGTAATCTCAGAAACTTCTTTGGGATATATGCACGCAGCTAACAGAGTTGAACCTTTCTATTGACAGAGCAGTTTTGAAACAGTCTTTCTGTGGAATCTGCAAGTGGATATTTGGATAGCTTGGAGGATTTCGTTGGAAACGGGATTACGTATAAAAAGTAGACAGCAGCATCCTCAGAAACTTCTTTGTGATGTGTGCATTCAAGTCACAGAGTTGAACATTCCCTTTCGTACAGCAATTTTGAAACACTCTTTCTGTAGTATCTGGAAGTGAACATTAGGACAGCTTTCAGGTCTATGGTGAGAAAGGAAATATCTTCAAATAAAAACTAGACAGAAGCATTCTCATAAACTTGTTTGTGATGTGTGAACTCAGCTAACAGAGGTGGATCTTTCTTTTGATACAGCAGTTTTGAAAAACACTTTTTGTTGAATCTGCAAGTGGACATTTGGATAGATTTGAAGATTTCGTTGGAAACGGGAATATCTTCATATCAAATCTAGACAGAAGCATTCTCGGAAACGTCTTTGTGATGTTTGCATTCAACTCATAGAGTTGAACATTCCGTTTCAGAGAGCAGCTTTGAGGCACTCATTTTGCAGTATGTGCAAGTGGATATTTGGAGCTCTCTGAGGCCTTCGGTGAAAAAGCAAATATCTTCCCATAACCACTAGACAGAAACTTTCTCAGAAACTCCTTTATGACGTATGCACTCACCTAACAGAGAAGAACCTTCCTTTTGACAGAGCAGTTTTGATACACTCTTTTTGTAGAATCTGCAAGTGGATATTTGGATAGCTGTGAAGATTTTGTTGGAAACGGGAATATCTTCCTATAAAATCTAGACAGAATCATTCTCAGAAACTGCTCTGTGATGTCTGCATTCAAGTCACAGAGTTGAACATTGCCTTTCATAGAGCAGGTTTGAAACGCTCTTTTTGTAGTATATGGAAGTGGACGTTTCGGACGGTTTGAGGCCCATGGTGATAAAGGGAATATCTTCCCCTACAAGCTAGAAAGAAGCATTCTGTGAAACTTGTTTGTGATGTGTGTACTCAACTAACAGAGTTGAACCTTTCTTTTTACACAGCAGTTTTGAAACACTCTTTTTGTAGAATCTGCGAGGGGATATTTGGATAGATTTCAGGATTTCGTTGGAAACGGGAATATCTTCATATAAAATCTCGACAGAAGCATTCTCAGAAACTTCCTTGTGATATGTGCATTCAAGTCACAGAGTTGAATATTCCCTTTCACAGAGTAGGTTTGAAACACTCTTTTTGTAGTATCTGGAAGTGGACATTTGGAGCGCCTTGATGCCCACGGTGAAAAGGGAAATATCTTCCCATCAAAACTAGACAGAAGCAATCTCAGAATCTTCTTTGGGATATATGCACGCAGCTAACAGAGTTGAACCTTTCTATTGACAGAGCAGTTTTGAAACAGTCTTTCTGTGGAATCTGCAAGTGGATATTTGGATAGCTTGGAGGATTTCGTTGGAAACGGGATTACGTATAAAAAGTAGAACAGCAGCATCCTCAGAAACTTCTTTGTAATGTGTGCATTCAAGTCACAGAGTTGAACATTCCCTTTCGTACAGCAGTTTTGAAACACTCTTTCTGTAGTAACTGGAAGTGAACATTAGGACAGCTTTCAGGTCTATGGTGAGAAAGGAAATATCTTCCAATAAAAACTAGACAGAAGCATTCTCATAAACTTGTTTGTGATGTGTGAACTCAGCTAACAGAGGTGGATCTTTCTTTTGATAGAGCAGTTCTGAAAAACACTTTTTGTTGAATCTGCAAGTGGACATTTGGATAGATTTGAAGATGTCGTTGGAAACGGGAATATCTTCATATCAAATCTAGACAGAAGCATTCTCAGAAACTGGTTTGTGATGTTTGCATTCAACTCTTAGTGTTGAACACTCCCTTTCATAGAGCAGTTTTGAAACACTCTTTTTGTTGTATGTGGAAGTGGACATTTGGAGCGCTTTGAGAACTCTGGTGAAAAAGCAAATATCTTCCCATAAACACTAGACAGAAACATTCTCAGAAACTTCTTTATGAGGTATGTACTCAACTAGCAGAGAAGAACTTTCCTTTTGACAGAGCACTTTGGATACACACTTTTTGTAGTATCTGCAAGTGGATATTTGGATAGCTGTGAAGATTTCGTTGGAAACGGGAATATCTTCCTATAAAGTCTGGACAGAAGCATTCTCAGAAACTGCTCTGTGATGTCTGCATTCAAGTCACAGAGTTGAACATTGCCTTTCATAGAGCAGGTTTCAAACACTCTTTTTTTAGTATATGGCAGTGGACGATTCGGATGGTTTGAGGATGATGGTGATAAAGGAAATATCTTCCCCTACAAGCTAGAAAGAAGCATTCTGTGAAACTTGTTTGTGATGTGTGTACTCAACTAACAGAGTTGAACCTTTCTTTTTACAGAGCAGTTTTGAAACACTCTTTTTGTAGAATCTGAGAGGGGATATTTGGATACATTTCAGGATTTCGTTGGAAACGGGAATATCTTCATATAAAATCTCGACAGAAGCATTCTCAGAAACTTCTTTGTGATATCTGCATTCAAGTCACAGAGTTGAATATTCCCTTCCACAGAGTAGGTTTGAAACACTCTTTTTGTAGTATCTGGAAGTGGACATTTGGAGCTCCTTGACACCTACGGTGAAAAGGGAAATATCTTCCCATAAAAACTAGACAGAAGCAATCTCAGAATCTTCTTTGGGATATATGCACGCAGCTAACACAGTTGAACCTTTCTATTGAAAGAGCAGTTTAGAAACAGTCTTTCTGTGGAATCTGCAAGTGGATATTTGGATAGCTGTGAAGATTTCGTTGGAAACAGGAATATCTTCCTATAAAGGCTGGACAGAAGCATCCTCAGAAACTTCTTTGTGATGTGTGCATTCAAGTCACAGAGTTGAACATTCCCTTTCGTACAGCAGTTTTGAAACACTCTTTCTGTAGTATCTGGAAGTGAACATTAGGACAGCTTTCAGCTGTATGGTGAGAAAGGAAATATCTTCAAATAAAAACTAGACAGAAGCATTCTCATAAACTTGTTTGTGATGTGTGAACTCAGCTAACAGAGGTGGATCTATCTTTTGATAGAGCAGTTCTGAAAAACACTTTTTGTTGAATCTGCAAGTGGACATTTGGATAGTTTTGAAGATTTCGTTGGAAACGGGAATATCTTCATATCAAATCTAGACAGAAGCATTCTCAGAAACGTCTTTGTGATGTTTGCATTCAACTCATAGAGTTGAACATTCCGTTTCAGAGACCAGCTTTGAAGCACTCTTTTTGTAGTATGTGCAAGTGGATATTTGGTGCGCTCTGAGGCCTACGGTGAAAAAGCAAATATCTTCCCATAACCACTAGACAGAAACATTCTCAGAAACTCCTTTATGACGTATGCACTCACCTAACAGAGAAGAACCTTCCTTTTGACAGAGCAGTTTTGATACACGCTTTTTGTAGAATCTGCAAGTGGATATTTGGATAGCTGTGAAGATTTCGTTGGAAACGGGAATATCTTCCTATAAAATCTAGACAGAAGCATTCTCAGAAACTGCTCTGTGATATCTGCATTCAAGTCACAGAGTTGAACATTGCCTTTCATAGAGCAGGTTTGAAACACTCTTTTTTTAGTATATGGAAGTGGACGTTTCGGACGGTTTGAGGACCATGGTGATAAAGGAAATATCTTCCCCTACAAGCTAGAAAGAAGCATTGTGTGAAACTTGTTTGTGATGTGTGTACTCAACTAACAGAGCTGAACCTTTCTTTTTACAGAGCAGTTTTGAAACACTCTTTTTGTAGAATCTGCGAGGGGATATTTGGATAGATTTCAGGATTTCGTTGGAAACGGGAATATCTTCATATAAAATCTCGACAGAAGCATTCTCAGAAACATCTTTGTGATATGTGCATTCAAGTCACAGAGTTGAGTATTCCCTTTCACAGAGTAGGTTTGAAACACTCCTTTTGTAGTATCTGGAAGTGGACATTTGGAGCGCCTTGACACCTACTGTGAAAAGTGAAATATCTTCCCATAAAAACTAGACAGAAGCAATCTCAGAATTTTCTTTGGGATATATGCACACAGCTAACAGAGTTGAACCTTTCTATTGACATAGCAGTTTTGAAACAGTCTTTCTGTGGAATCTGCAAGTGGATATTTGGATAGCTTGGAGGATTTCGGTGGAAACGGGATTACGTATAAGAAGTAGACAGCAGCATCCTCAGAAACTTCTTTGTGATGTGTGCATTCATGTCACAGAGTTGAACATTCCCTTTCGTACAGCAGTTTTGAAACACTCTTTCTGTAGTATGTGGAAGTGAACATTAGGACAGCTTTCAGGTCTATGGTGAGAAAGGAAATATCTTCAAATAAAAACTAGACAGAAGCATTCTCATAAACTTGTTCGTGATGTGTGAACTCAGCTAACACACGTGGATCTTTCTTTTGATAGAGCAGTTCTGAAAAACACTTTTTGTTGAATCTGCAAGAGGACATTTGGATAGATTTGAAGATTTCGTTGGAAACGGGAATATCTTCATATCAAATCTAGACAGAAAGCATTCTCAGAAACGTCTTTGTGATGTTTGCATTCAACTCATAGAGTTGAACATTCCCTTTCAGAGAGCAGCTTTGAAGCACTCTTTTTGTAGCATTTGCAAGTGGACATTTGGAGCGCCCTGAGGCCTACGGGGAAAAAGCAAATATCTTCCCATAACCACTAGACAGAAACATTCTCAGAAACTCCTTTATGACGTATGCACTCACCTAACAGAAAAGAACCTTCCTTTTGACAGAGCAGGTTTGATACACTCTTTTTGTAGAATCTGCAAGTGGTTATTTGGATAGCTGTGAAGATTTCGTTGGAAACGGGAATATCTTCCTATAAAATCTAGACAGAAGCATTCTCAGAAACTGCTCTGTGATGTCTGCATTCAAGTCACAGAGTTGAACATTGCCTTTCATACAGCAGGTTTGAAACGCTCTTTTTGTAGTATATGGAAGTGGACATTTCGGACGGTTTGAGGACCATGGTGATAAAGGGGAATCTTCCCCTACAAGCTAGAAAGAAGCATTCTGTGAAACTTGTTTGTGATGTGTGTACTCAACTAACAGAGTTGAACCTTTCTTTTTACAGAGCAGTTTTGATACACTCTTTTTGTAGAATCTGCGAGGGGATATTTGGATACATTTCAGGATTTCGTTGGAAATGGGAATATCTTCATATAAAATATCGACAGAAGCATTCTCAGAAACTTCCTTGTGATATGTGCATTCAAGTCACAGAGTGGAATATTCCCTTTCACAGAGTAGGTTTGAAACACTCTTTTTGTAGTATCTGGAAGTGGACATTTGGAGCGCCTTGACGCCCACGGTGAAAAGGGAAATATCTTCCCATAAAAACTAGACAGAAGCAATCTCAGAAAATTCTTTGGGATATATGCACGCAGCTAACGGAGTTGAACATTTCTATTGACAGAGCAGTTTTGAAACAGTCGTTCTGTGGAATCTGCAAGTGGATATTTGGATAGCTTGGAGGATTTCGTTGGAAACGGGATTACGTATAAAAAGTAGACAGCAGCATCCTCAGAAACTTCTTTGTGATGTGTGCATTCAAGTCACAGAGTTGAACATTCCCTTTCGTACAGCAGTTTTGAAACACTCTTTCTGTAGTATCTGGAAGTGAACATTAGGACAGCTTTAAGCTCTATGGTGAGAAAGGAAATATCTTCAAATAAAAACTAGACAGAAGCATTCTCATAAACTTGTTTGTGATGTGTGAACTCAGCTAAGAGACGTGGATCTTTCTTTTGATAGAGCAGTTCTGAAAAACACTTTTTGTTGAATCTGCAAGTGGACATTTGGATAGATTTGAAGATTTCTTTGGAAACGGGAATATCTTCATATCAAATCTAGAGAGAAGCATTCTCAGAAACGTCTTTGTGATGTTTGCATTCAACTCATAGAGTTGAACATTCTCTTTCAGAGAGGAGCTTTGAAGCACACTTTTTTTAGTATGTGCAAGTGGACATTTGGAGCGCTTTGAGGCCTACGGGGAAAAAGCAAATATCTTCCCATAACCACTAGACAGGAACATTCTCAGAAACTCCTTTATGACGTATGCACTCACCTAACACAGAAGAACCTTCCTTTTGACAGAGCATTTTTGATACACTCTTTTTGTAGCATCTGCAAGTGGATATTTGGATATCTGTGAAGATTTCGTTGGAAACGGGAATATCTTCCTATAAAATCTAGACAGAAGCATTCTCAGAAACTGCTCTGTGATGTCTGCATTGAAGTCACAGAGTTGAACATTGCCTTTCATAGAGCAGGTTTGAAACGCTCTTTTTGTAGTATATGGAAGTAGACGTTTCGGACGGTTTGAGGCCCATGGTGATAAAGGGAATATCTTCCCCTACAAGCTAGAAAGAAGCATTCTGTGAAACTTGTTTGTGATGTGTGTACTCAACTAACAGAGTTGAACCTTTCTTTTTACAGAGCAGTTTTGAAACACTCTTTTTGTAGAATCTGCGAGGGGAAATTTGGATAGATTTCAGGATTTCTTTGGAAACGGGAATATCTTCATACAAAATCTCGACAGAAGCATTCTCAGAAACTTCTTTGTGATATCTGCATTCCAGTCACAGAGTTGAATATTCCCTTTCACAGAGTAGGTTTGAAACACTCTTTTTATAGTATCTGCAATTGGACATTTGGAGTGCCTTGACGCCTACGGTGAAAAGGGAAATATCTTCCGATAAAAACTAGACAGAAGCAATCTCAGAATCTTCTTTGGGATATATGCACGCAGCTAACAGAGTTGAACCTTTCTATTGACAGAGCAGGTTTGAAACAGTCTTTCTGTGGAATCTGCAAGTGGATATTTGGATAGCTTGGAGGATTTCGTTGGAAACGGGATTACGTATAAAAAGTAGACAGCAGCATCCTCAGAAACTTCTTTGTGATGTGTGCATTCAAGTCACAGAGTTGAACATTCCCTTTCGTACAGCAGTTTTGAAACACTCTTTCTGTGAGTATCTGGTAGTGAACATTAGGACAGCTTTCAGCTCTATGGTGAGAAAGGAAATATCTTCAAATAAAAACTAGACAGAAGCATTCTCATAAACTTGTTTGTGATGTGTGAACTCAGCAAACAGCGGTGGATCTTTCTTTTGATAGAGCAGTTCTGAAAAACACTTTTTGTTGAATCTGCAAGTGGACATTTGGATAGTTTTGAAGATTTCCCTTGGAAAAAGGAATATCTTCATATCAAATCTAGACAGAAGCATTTTCAGAAACGTCTTTGTGATGTTTGCATTCAACTCATAGAGTTGAACATTCCGTTTCAGAGAGCAGCTTTGAGGCACACTTTTTGTAGTATGTGCAAGTGGATATTTGGAGCGCTGCTGAGGCCTACGGTGAAAAAGCAAATATCTTCCCATAACCACTAGACAGAAACATTCTGAGAAACTCCTTTATGACGTATGCACTCACCTAACAGAGAAGAACCTTCCTTTTGACAGAGCATTTTTGATACACTCTTTTTGTAGAATCTGCAAGTGGATATTTGGATAGCTGTGAAGATTTCGTTGGAAACGGGAATATCTTCCTATAAAATCTAGACAGAAGCATTCTCAGAAACTGCTCTGTGATGTCTACATTCAAGTCACAGAGTTGAACATTGCCTTTCATAGAGCAGGTTTGAAACGCTCTTTTTGTAGTATATGGAAGTGGACGTTTCGGACGGTTTGAGGCCCATGGTGATAAAGGGAATATCTTCCCCTACAAGCTAGAAAGAAGCATTCTGTGAAACTTGTTTGTGATGTGTGTACTCAACTAACAGAGTTGAACCTTTCTTTTTACAGAGCAGTTTTGAAACACTCTTTTTGTAGAATCTGTGAGGGGATATTTGGATAGATTTCAGGATTTCCTTGGAAACGGGAATATCTTCATATAAAATCTCGACAGAAGCATTCTCAGAAACTTCTTTGTGATATCTGCATTCAAGTCACAGAGTTGAATATTCCCTTTCACAGAGTAGGTTTGAAACACTCTTTTTGTAGTATCTGGAAGTGGACATTTGGAGCGCCTTAACACCTACGGTGAAAAGGGAAATATCTTCCCATAAAAACTAGACAGAAGCAATCTCAGAATCTTCTTTGGGATATATGCACGCAGCTAACAGAGTTGAACCTTACTATTGACAGAGCAGTTTTGAAACAGTCTTTCTGTGGAATCTGCAAGTGGATATTTGGATAGCTTGGAGTATTTCGTTGGAAACGGGATTAAGTATAAAAAGTAGACAGCAGCATCCTCAGAAACTTCTTTGTGATGTGTGCATTCAAGTCACAGAGTTGAACATTCCCTTTCGTACAGCAGTTTTGAAACACTCTTTCTGTAGTATCTGGAAGTGAACATTAGTACAGCTTTCAGCTCTATGGTGAGAAAGGAAATATCTTCAAATAAAAACTAGACAGAAGCATTCTCATAAACTTGTTTGTGATGTGTGAACTCAGCTAACAGAGGTGGATCTTTCTTTTGATAGAGCAGTTCTGAAAAACACTTTTTGTTGAATCTGCAAGTGGACATTTGGATAGATTTGAAGATTTCGTTGGAAACGGGAATACCTTCATATCAAATCTAGACAGAAGCATTCTCAGAAACGTCTTTGTGATGTTTGCATTCAACTCATAGAGTTGAACATTCCCTTTCACAGAGCAGCTCTGAAGAACTCTTTTGATAGTATGTGCAAGGGGATATTTGTAGCGCTCTCAGGCCTACGGTGAAAAAGCAAATATCTTCCCATAACGACTAGACAGAAACATTTTCAGAAACTCCTTTATGACGTATGCACTCACCTAACAGAGAAGAACCTTCCTTTTGACAGAGCACTTTTGATACACTCTTTTTGTAGAATCTGAAAGTGGATATTTGGATAGCTGTGAAGATTTCGTTGGAAACGAGAATATCTTCCTATAAAATCTAGACAGAAGCATTCTCAGAAACTGCTCTGTGATGTCTGCATTCAAGTCACAGAGTTGAACATTGCCTTTCATAGAGCAGGTTTGAAACGCTCTTTTTGAAGTATATGGAAGTGGACGTTTCGGACGGTTTGAGGCCCATGGTGATAAAGGGAATATCTTCCCCTACAAGCTAGAAAGAAGCATTCTGTGAAACTTGTTTGTGATGTGTGTACTCAACTAACAGAGTTGAACCTTTCTTTTTACAGAGCAGTTTTGAGACACTCTTTTTGTAGAATCTGCGAGGGGATATTTGGATAGATTTCAGGATTTCTTTGGAAACGGGAATATCTTCATATAAAATCTCGACAGAAGCATTCTCAGAAACTTCTTTGTGATATCTGCCTTCAAGTCACAGAGTTGAATATACCCTTTCACAGAGTAGGTTTGAAACACTCTTTTTGTAGTATCTGGAAGTGGACATTTGGAGCGCCTTGACGCCTACGGTGAAAAGGGAAATATCTTCCCATAAAAACTAGACAGAAGCAATCTCAGAATCTTCTTTGGGATATATGCACGCAGCTAACAGAGTTGAACCTTTCTATTGACAGAGCAGTTTTGAAACAGTCTTTCTGTGGAATCTGCAAGTGGATATTTGGATAGATTGGAGGATTTCGTTGGAAACGGGATTACATATAAAAAGTAGACAGCAGCATCCTCAGAAACTTCTTTGTGATGTGTGCATTCAAGTCACAGAGTTGAACATTCCCTTTCGTACAGCAGTTTTGAAACACTCTTTCTGTAGTATCTGGAAGTGAGCATTAGGACAGCTTTCAGGTCTATGGTGAGAAAGGATATATCTTCAAATAAAAACTAGACAGAAGCATTCTCATAAACTTGTTTGTGATGTGTGAACTCAGCTAACAGACGTGGATCTTTCTTTTGATACAGCAGTTTTGAAAAACACTTTTTGTTGAATCTGCAAGTGGACATTTGGATAGATTTGAAGATTTCGTTGGAAACGGGAATATCTTGATATCAAATCTAGACAGAAGCATTCTCAGAAACGTCTTTGTGATGTTTGCATTCAACTCATAGAGTTGAACATTCCGTTTCAGAGAGCAGCTTTGAAGCACTCTTTTTGTAGTATCTGCAAGTGGATATTTGGAGCGCTCTGAGGCCTACGGTGAAAAAGCAAATATCTTCCCATAACCACTAGACAGAAACATTCTCAGAAACTCCTTTATGACGTATGCACTCACCTAACAGAGAAGAACCTTCCTTTTGACAGAGCAGTTTTGATACACTCTTTTTGTAGAATCTGAAAGTGGATATTTGGATAGCTGTGAAGATTTCGTTGGAAACGGGAATATCTTCCTATAAAATCTAGACAGAAGCATTCTCAGAAACTGCTACTGTGATGTCTGCATTCAAGTCACAGAGTTGAACATTGCCTTTCATAGAGCAGGTTTGAAACGCTCTTTTTGTAGTATATGGAAGTTGACGTTTCGGACGGTTTGAGGCCCATGGTGATAAAGGGAATATCTTCCCCTACAAGCTAGAAAGAAGCATTCTGTGAAACTTGTTTGTGATGTGTGTACTCAACTAACAGAGTTGAACCTTTCTTTTTACAGAGCAGTTTTGAAACACTCTTTTTGTAGAATCTGTGAAGGGATATTTGGATAGATTTCAGGATTTCTTTGGAAACGGGAATATCTTCATATAAAATCTCGACAGAAGCATTCTCAGAAACTTCTTTGTGATATGTGCATTAAAGTCACAGAGTTGAATATTCCTTTTCACAGAGTAGGTTTGAAACACTCTTTTTGTAGTATCTGGAAGTGGACATTTGGAGCGCCTTGACACCTACGGTGAAAAGGGAAATATCTTCCCATAAAAACTAGACAGAAGCAATCTCAGAATTTTCTTTGGGATATATGCACACAGCTAACAGAGTTGAACTTTTCTATTGACATAGCAGTTTTGAAACAGTCTTTCTGTGGAATCTGCAAGTGGATATTTGGATAGCTTGGAGGATTTCGTTGGAAACCGGATTACGTATAAAAAGTAGACAGCAGCATCCTCAGAAACTTCTTTGTGATGTGTGCATTCAAGTCACAGAGTTGAATATTCCCTTTCGTACAGCAGTTTTGAAACACTCTTTCTGTAGTATCTGGAAGTGAAAATTAAGACAGCTTTCAGCTCTATGGTGAGAAAGGAAATATCTTCAAATAAAAACTAGACAGAAGCATTCTCATAAACTTGTTTGTGATGTGTGAACTCAGCTAACACACGTGGATCTTTCTTTTGATAGAGCAGTTCTGAAAATCACTTTTGTTGAATCTGCAAGTGGACATTTGGATATATTTGAAGATTTCGTTGGAAACGGGAATATCTTCATATCAAATCTAGACAGAAGCATTCTCAGAAACGTCTTTGTGATGTTTGCATTCAACTCATAGAGTTGAACATTCCCTTTCAGAGAGCAGCTTTGAAGCACTCTTTTTGTAGTATGTGCAAGAGAAAATTTGGAGCGCCCTGAGGCCTACGGTGAAAAAGCAAATATCTTCCCATAACCACTAGACAGAAACATTCTCAGAAACTCCTTTATGACGTATGCACTCACCTAACAGAGAAGAACCTTCCATTTGACAGAGCAGTTTTGATACACTCTTTTTGTAGAATCTGCAAGTGGATATTTGGATAGCTGTGAAGATTTCGCTGGAAACGGGAATATCTTCCTATAAAATCTAGACAGAAGCATTCTCAGAAACTGCGCTGTGATGTCTGCATTCAAGTCACAGAATTGAACATTGCCTTTCATAGAGCAGGTTTGAAACGCTCTTTTTGTACTATATGGAAGAGGACGTTTCGGACGGTTTGAGGACCATGGTGATAAAGGGAATATCTTCCCCTACAAGCTAGAAAGAAGCATTCTGTGAAACTTGTTTGTGATGTGTGTACTCAACTCACAGAGTTGAACCTTTCTTTTTACAGAGCAGTTTTGAAACACTCTTTTTGTAGAATCTGCGAGGGCATATTTGGATAGATTTCAGGATTTCGTTGGAAAGGGGAATATCTTCATATAAAATCTCGACAGAAGCATTCTCAGAAACTTCTTTGTGATATGTGCATTCAAGTCACAGAGTTGAATATTCCCTTTCACAGAGTAGGTTTGAAACACTCTTTTTGTAGTATCTGGAAGTGGACATTTGGAGCGCCTTGACGCCTACAGTGAAAACGGAAATATCTTCCCATAAAAACTAGACAGAAGCAATCTCAGAATCTTCTTTGGGATATATGCACGCAGCTAACAGAGTTGAACCTTTCTATTGACAGAGCAGTTTTGAAACAGTCTTTCTGTGGAATCTGCAAGTGGATATTTGTATAGCTTGGAGGATTTTCGTTGGAAACGGGATTACGTATAAAAAGTAGACAGCAGCATCCTCAGAAACTTCTTTGTGATGTGTGCATTCAAGTCACAGAGTTGAACATTCCCTTTTGTACATCAGTTTTGAAACACTCTTTCTGTAGTATCTGGAAGTGAACATTAGGACAGCTTTCAGGTCTATGGTGAGAAAGGAAATATCTTCAAATAAAAACTAGACAGAAGCATTCTCATAAACTTCTTTGTGATGTGTGAACTCAGCTAACCGAGGTGGATCTTTCTTTTGATAGAGCAGTTCTGAAAAACACTTTTTGTTGAATCTGCAATTGGACATTTGGATAGATTTGAAGATTTCGTTGGAAACGGGAATAACTTCATTTCAAATCTAGACAGAAGCATTCTCAGAAACGTCTTTCCGATGTTTGCATTCAACTCATAGAGTTGAACATTCCCTTTCAGAGAGCAGCTTTGAAGCACTCTTTTTGTAGCATGTGCAAGTGGACATTTGGAGGGCCCTGAGGCCTACGGGGAAAAAGCAAATATCTTCCCATAACCACTAGACAGAAACATTCTCAGAAACTCCTTTATGACGTATGCACTCACCTAACAGAGAAGAACCTTCCTTTTGACAGAGCAGTTTTGATACACTCTTTTTGTAGAATCTGCAAGTGGATATTTGGATAGCTGCGAAGATTTCGTTGGAAACGGGAATATCTTCCTATAAAATCTAGACAGAAGCATTCTCAGAAACTGCTCTGTGATGTCTGCATTCAAGTCACAGAGCTGAACATTGCCTTTCATAGAGCAGGTTTGAAACGCTCTTTTTGTAGTATATGGAAGTGGACGTTTCGGATGGTTTGAGGCCCATGGTGATAAAGGGAATATCTTCCCCTACAAGCTAGAAAGAAAGCATTCTGTGAAACTTGTTTGTGATGTGTGTACTCAACTAACAGAGTTGAACCTTTCTTTTCACAGAGCAGTTTTGAAACACTCTTTTTGTAGAATCTGCGAGGGGATATTTGGATAGATTTCAGGATTTCGTTGGAAACGGGAATATCTTCATATAAAATCTCGACAGAAGCATTCTCAGAAACTTCTTTGTGATACGTGCATTCTAGTCACACCGTTGAATATTCCCTTTCACAGAGTAGGTTTGAAACACTCTTTTTGTAGTATCTGGAAGTGGACATTTGGAGCGCCTTGACGCCTACGGTGAAAAGGGAAATATCTTCCCATAAAAACTAGACAGAAGCAATCTCAGAATCTTCTTTGGGATATATGTACGCAGCTAATAGAGTTGAACCTTTCTATTGACAGAGCAGTTTTGAAACAGTCTTTCTGTGGAATCTGGAAGTGGATATTTGGATAGCTTGGAGGATTTCGTTGGAAACGGGATTACGTATAAAAAGTAGACAGCAGCATCCTCAGAAACATCTTTGTGATGTGTGCATTCAAGTCACAGAGTTGAACATTCCCTTTCGTACAGCAGTTTTGAAACACTCTTTCTGTAGTATCTGGAAGTGAACATTAGGACAGCTTTCCGGTCTATGGTGAGAAAGGAAATATCTTCAAATAAAAACTAGACAGAAGCATTCTCATAAACTTGTTTGTGATGTGTGAACTCAGCTAAGAGACGTGGATCTTTCTTTTGATAGAGCAGTTCTGAAAAACACTTTTTGTTGAATCTGCAAGTGGACATTTGGATAGATTTGAAGATTTCTTTGGAAACGGGAATATCTTCATATGAAATCTAGAGAGAAGCATTCTCAGAAACGTCTTTGTCATGTTTGCATTCAACTCATAGAGTTGAACATTCCGTTTCAGAGAGCAGCTTTGAAGCACTCTTTTTGTAGTATGTGCAAGCGGATATTTGGAGCACTCTGAGGCCTACGGTGAAAAAGCAAATATCTTCCCATAACCACTAGACAGAAACATTCTCAGAAACTCCTCTATGACGTATGCACTCACCTAACAGAGAAGAACCTTCGTTTTGACAGAGCAGTTTTGATACACTCTTTTTGTAGAATCTGCAAGTGGATATTTGGATAGCTGTGAAGATTTCGTTGGAAACGGGAATATCTTCCTATAAAATCTAGACAGAAGCATTTTCAGAAACTGCTCTGTGATATCTGTATTCAAGTCACAGAGTTGAACATTGCCTTTCATAGAGCAGGTTTGAAACGCTCTTTTTGTAGTATATGTAAGTGGATGTTTCGGACGGTTGGAGGCCCATGGTGATAAAGGGAATATCTTCCCCTACAAGCTAGAAAGAAGCATTGTGTGAAACTTGTTTGTGATGTGTGTAGTCAACTAACAGAGTTGAACCTTTCTTTTTACAGAGCAGTTTTGAAACACTCTTTTTGTAGAATCTGCGAGGGGATATTTGGATAGATTTCAGGATTTCGATGGAAACGGGAATATCTTCATATAAAATCTCGACAGAAGCATTCTCAGAAACTTCTTTGTGATATGTGCATTCGAGTCACAGAGTTGAATATTCCCTTTCACAGAGTAGGTTAGAAACACTCTTTTTGTAGTATCTGGAAGTGGACATTTGGAGCGCCTTGACACCTACGGTGAAAAGGGAAATATCTTCCCATAAAAACTAGACAGAAGCAATCTGAGAATCTTCTTTGGGATATATGCACGCAGCTAACAGAGTTGAACCTTTCTATTGACAGAGCAGTTTTGAAACAGTCTTTCTGTGGAATCTGCAAGTGGATATTTGGATAGCTTGGAGGATTTCGTTGGAAACGGGATTACGTATAAAAAGTAGACAGCAGCATCCTCTGAAACTTCTTTGTGATGTGTGCATTCAAGTCACAGAGTTGAACATTCCCTTTCGTACAGCAGTTTTGAAACACTCTTTCTGTAGTATCTGGAAGTGAACATTAGGACAGCTTTCAGCTCTATGGTGAGAAAGGAAATATCTTCAAATAAAAACTAGACAGAAGCATTTTCATAAACTTGTTTGTGATGTGTGAACTCAGCTAACAGAGGTGGATCTTTCTTTTGATAGAGCAGTTCTGAAAAACACTTTTTTTTGAATCTGCAAGTGGACATTTGGATAGATTTGAAGATTTCGTTGGAAACGGGAATATCTTCATATCAAATCTAGACAGAAGCATTCTCAGGAAACGTCTTTGTGATGTTTGCATTCAACTCATAGAGTTGAACATTCCGTTTCAAAGAGCAGCTTTGAGGCACTCTTTTTGTAGTATGTGCAAGTGGATATTTGGAGCGCTCTGAGGCCTACGGTGAAAAAGCAAATATCTTCCCATAACCACTAGACAGAAACATTCTCAGAAACTCGTTTATGACGTATGCACTCACCTAACAGAGAAGAACCTTCCATTTGACAGATCAGTTTTGATACACTCTTTTTGTAGAATCTGCAAGTGGATATTTGGATAGCTGTGAAGATTTTGCTGGAAACGGGAATATCTTCCTATAAAATCTAGACAGAAAGCATTCTCAGAAACTGCTATGTGATGTCTGCATTCAAGTCACAGAGTTGAACATTGCCTTTCCTAGAGCAGGTTTGAAACGCTCTTTTTGTAGTATATGGAAGTGGACGTTTCGGACGGTTTGAGGCCCATGGTGATAAAGGGAATATCTTCCCCTACAAGCTAGAAAGAGCATTGTTTGAAACTTGTTTGTGATGTGTGTACTCAACTAACAGAGTTGAACCTTTCTTTTTACAGAGCAGTTTTGAAACACTCTTTTTGTAGAATCTGCGAGGGGATATTTGGATACATTTCAGCATTTCGTTGGAAACGGGAATATCTTCATATAAAATCTCGACAGAAGCATTCTCAGAAACTTCTTTGTCATATCTGCCTTCAAGTCACAGAGTTGAATATTCCCTTTCACAGAGTAGGTTTGAAACACTCTTTTTGTAGTATCTGGAAGTGGACATTTGGAGTGCCTTGACGCCTACGGTGAAAATGGAAATATCTTCCCATAAAAACTAGACAGAAGCAATCTCAGAATTTTCTTTGGGATATATGCACACAGCTAACTGAGTTGAACTTTTCTATTGACATAGCAGTTTTGAAACAGTCTTTCTGTGGAATCTGCAAGTGGATATTTGGATAGCTTGGAGGATTTCGTTGGAAATGGGATTACGTATAAAAAGTAGACAGCAGCATCCTCAGAAACTTCTTTGTGATGTATGCATTCAACTCCCAGAGTTGAACATTCCCTTTCGTACAGCAGTTTTGAAACACTCTTTCTGTAGTATCTGGAAGTGAACATTAGGACAGCTTTCAGGTCTATGGTGAGAAAGGAAATATCTTCAAATAAAAACTAGACAGAAGCATTCTCATAAACTTGTTTGTGATGTGTGAACTCAGCTAACAGAGGTGGACCTTTCTTTTGATAGAGCAGTTCTGAAAAACACTTTTTGTTGAATCTGCAAGTGGACATTTGGATAGATTTGTAGATTTCGTTGGAAACGGGAATATCTTCATATCAAATCTAGACAGAAGCATTCTCAGAAACGTCTTTGTGATGTTTGCATTCAACTCATAGAGTTGAACATTCCGTTTCAGAGAGCAGCTTTGAAGCACTCTTTTTGTAGTATGTGCAAGTGGATATTTGGAGCGCTCTGAGGCCTACAGTGAAAAAGCAAATATCTTCCCATAACCACTAGACAGAAACATTCTCAGAAACTCCTTTATGACGTATGCACTCACCTAACAGAGAAGAACCTTCCTTTTGACAGAGCAGTTCTGATACACTCTTTTTGTAGAATCTGCAAGTGGATATTTGGATAGCTGTGAAGATTTCGTTGGAAACGGGAATATCTTCCTATAAAATCTAGACAGAAGCATTCTCAGAAACTGCTCTGTGATGTCTGTATTCAAGTCACAGAGTTGAACATTGCCTTTCATAGAGCAGGTTTGAAATGCTCTTTTTGTAGTATATGGAAGTGGACTTTTCGGACGGTTTGAGGCCCATGGTGATAAAGGGAATATCTTCCCCTACAAGCTAGAAAGAAGCATTCTGTGAAACTTGTTTGTGATGTGTGTACTCAATTAACAGAGTTGAACCTTTCTTTTTACAGAGCAGTTTTGAAACACTCTTTTTGTAGAATCTGCGAGGGGATATTTGGATAGATTTCAGGATTTCATTGGAAACGGGAATATCTTCATATAAAATCTCGACAGAAGCAATCTCAGAATCTTCTTTGGGATATATGCACGCAGCTAACAGAGTTGAACCTTTCTATTGACAGAGCAGTTTTGAAACAGTCTTTCTGTGGAATCTGCAAGTGGATATTTGGATAGCTTGGAGGATTTCGTTGGAAACGGGATTACGTATAAAAACTAGACAGCCGCATCCTCAGAAACTTCTTTGTGATGTGTGCATTCAAGTCACAGAATTGAACATTCCCTTTCGTACAGCAGTTTTGAAACACTTTTTCTGTAGCATCTGGAAGAGAACATTAGGACAGCTTTCAGGTCTATGGTGAGAAAGGAAATATCTTCAAATAAAAACTAGACAGAAAGCATTCTCATAAACTTGTTTGTGATGTGTGAACTCAGCTAACAGAGGTGGATCTTTCTTTTGATAGAGCAGTTCTGAAAAACACTTTTTGTTGAATCTGCAAGTGGACATTTGGATAGATTTGAAGATTTCGTTGGAAACGGGAATATCTTCATATCAAATCTAGACAGAGCATTCTCAGAAACGTCTTTGTGATGTTTGCATTCAACTCATAGAGTTGAACATTCCCTTTCAGAGAGCAGCTTTGAAGCACTCTTTTTGTAGCATGTGCAAGTGGACATTTGGAGCGCCCTGAGGCCTACGGGGAAAAAGCAAATATCTTCCCATAACCACTACACAGAAACATTCTCAGAAACTCCTTTATGACGTATGCACTCACCTAACAGAGAAGAACCTTCCTTTTGACAGAGCAGTTTTGATACACTCTTTTTGTAGAATCTGCAAGTGGATATTTTGATAGCTGTGAAGATTTCGTTGGAAACGGGAATATCTTCCTATAATATCTAGACAGAAGCATTCTCAGAAACTGCTCTGTGATGTCTGCATTCAAGTCACAGAGTTGAACATTGCCTTTCCTAGAGCAGGTTTGAAACGCTCTTTTTGTAGTATATGGAAGTGGAAGTTTCGGACGGTTTGAGGCCCATGGTGATAAAGGGAATATCTTCCCCTACAAGCTAGAAGGAAGCATTCTGTGAAACTTGTTTGTGATGTGTGTACTCAACTAACAGAGTTGAACCTTTCTTTTTACAGAGCAGTTTTGAAACACTCTTTTTGTAGAATCTGCGAGGGGATATTTGGATAGATTTCAGGATTTCGTTGCAAACGGGAATATCTTCATAGAAAATCTCGACAGAAGCATTCTCAGAAACTTCTTTGTGATATCTGCCTTCAAGTCACAGAGTTGAATATTCCCTTTCGCAGAGTAGGTTTGAAACACTCTTTTTGTAGTATCTGGAAGTGGACATTTGGAGCTCCTTGACACCTACAGTGAAAAGGGAAATATCTTCCCATAAATACTAGACAGAAGCAATCTCAGAATTTTCTTTGGGATATATGCACACAGCTAACAGAGTTGAACCTTTCTATTGACATAGCAGTTTTGAAACAGTCTTTCTGTGGAATCTGCAAGTGGATATTTGGATAGCTTGGAGGATTTCGTTGGAAACGGGATTACGTATAAGAAGTAGACAGCAGCATCCTCAGAAACTTCTTTGTGATGTGTGCATTCAAGTCACAGAGTTGAACATCACCTTTCGTACAGCAGTTTTGAAACACTCTTTCTGTAGTATCTGGAAGTGAACATTAGGTCAGCTTTCAGGTCTATGGTGAGAAAGGAAATATCTTCAAATAAAAACTAGACAGAAGCATTCTCATAAACTTGTTTGTGATGTGTGAACTCAGCTAAGAGACGTGGATCTTTCTTTTGATAGAGCAGTTCTGAAAAACACTTTTTGTTGAATCTGCAAGTGGACATTTGGATAGGTTTGAAGATTTGCTTTGGAAACGGGAATATCTTCATATCAAATCTAGACAGAAGCATTCTCAGAAACGTCTTTGTGATGTTTGCATTCAACTCATAGAGTTGAACATTCCCTTTCAGAGACCAGCTTTGAAGCACTCTTTTTGTAGCATGTGCAAGTGGACATTTGGAGCGCCCTGAGGCCTACGGGGAAAAAGCAAATATCTTCCCATAACCACTAGACAGAAACATTCTAAGAAACTCCTTTATGACGTATGCACTCACCTAACAGAGAAGAACCTTCCTTTTGACAGAGCAGTTTTGATACACTCTTTTTGTAGAATCTGCAAGTGGATATTTGGATAGCTGTGAAGATTTCGTTGGAAACGGGAATATCTTCCTATAAAATCTAGACAGAAGCATTCTCAGAAACTGCTCTGTGATGTCTGCATTCAAGTCACAGAGTTGAACATTGCCTTTCATAGAGCAGGTTTGAAATGCTCTTTTTGTAGTATATGGAAGTGGACGTTTCAGACGGTTTGAGGCCGATGGTGATAAAGGGAATATCTTCCCCTACAAGCTAGAAAGAAGCATTCTGTGAAACTTGTTTGTGAGGTGTGTACTCAACTAACAGAGTTGAACCTTTCTTTTTACAGAGCAGTTTTGAAACACTCTTTTCGTAGAATCTGCGAGGGGATATTTGGATAGATTTCAGGATTTCGTTGGAAACGGGAATATCTTCATATAAAATCTCGACAGAAGCATTCTCAGAAACTTCTTTGTGATATCTGCATTCAAGTCACAGAGTTGAATATTCCCTTTCACAGAGTAGGTTTGAAACACTCTTTTTGTAGTATCTGGAAGTGGACATTTGGAGCGCCTTGACGCCTACGGTGAAAAGGGAAATATCTTCCCATAAAAACTAGACAGCAAGCAATCTCAGAATCTTCTTTGGGATATATGCACGCAGCTAACAGAGTTGAACCTTTCTATTGACAGAGCAGTTTTGAAACATTCTTTCTGTGGAATCTGCAAGTGGATATTTGGATAGCTTGGAGGATTTCGTTGGAAACGGGATTACGTATAAAAAGTAGACAGAGAATCCTCAGAAACTTCTTTGTGATGTGTGCATTCAAGTCACAGAGTTGAACATTCCCTTTCGTACAGCAGTTTTGAAACACTCTTTCTGTAGTATCTGGAAGTGAACATTAGGACAGCTTTCAGGTCTATGGTGAGAAAGGAAATATCTTCAAATAAAAACTAGACAGAAGCATTCTCATAAACTTGTTTGTGATGTGTAAACTCAGCTAACAGAGGTGGATCTTTCTTTTGATAGAGCAGTTCTGAAAAACACTTTTTGTTGAATCTGCAAGTGGATATTTGGATAGATTTGAAGATTTCGTTGGAAACGGGAATATCTTCATATCAAATCTAGACAGAAGCATTCTCAGAAACGTCTTTGTGATGTTTGCATTCAACTCATAGAGTTGAACATTCCGTTTCAGAGAGCAGCTTTGAAGCACTCTTTTTGTAGTATGTGCAAGTGGATATTTGGAGCGCTCTGAGGCCTACGGTGAAAAAGCAAATATCTTACCATAACCACTAGACAGAAACATTCTCAGAAACTCCTTTATGACGTATGCACTCACCTAACAGAGAAGAACCTTCCTTTTGACAGAGCAGTTTTGATACACTCTTTTTGTAGAATCTCCAAGTGGATATTTGGATAGCTGTGAAGGTTTCGTTGGAAACGGAAATATCTTCCTATAAAATCTAGACAGAAGCATTCTCAGAAACTGCTCTGTGATGTCTGCATTCAAGTCACAGAGTTGAACATTGCCTTTCATAGAGCAGGTTTGAAACCCTCTTTTTGAAGTATATGGAAGTGGACGTTTCGGACGGTCTGAGGCCCATGGTGATAAAGGGAATATCTTCCCCTACAAGCTAGAAAGAAGCATTCTGTGAAACTTGTTTGTGATGTGTGTACTCAACTAACAGAGTTGAACCTTTCTTTTTACAGAGCAGTTTTGAAACACTCTTTTTGTAGAATCTGCGAGGAGATATTTGGATAGATTTCAGGATTTTGTTGGAAACGGGAATATCTTCATATAAAATCGCGACAGAAGCATTCTCAGAAACTTCTTTGTGATATCTGCCTTCAAGTCACAGAGTTGAATATTCCCTTTCTCAGAGTAGGTTTGAAACACTCTTTTTGTAGTATCTGGAAGTGGACATTTGGAGCGCCTTGACACCTACGGTGAAAAGGGAAATATCTTCCCATAAAAACTAGACAGAAGCAATCTCAGAATCTTCTTTGGGATATATGCACGCAGCTAACAGAGTTGAACCTTTCTATTGACAGAGCAGTTTTCAAACAGTCTTTCTGTGGAATCTGCAAGTGGATATTTGGATAGCTTGGAGGATTTCGTTGGAAACGGGATTACGTATAAAAAGTAGACAGCAGCATCCTCAGAAACTTCTTTGTGATGTGTGCATTCAAGTCACACAGTTGAACATTCCCTTTCGTACAGCAGTTTTGAAACACTCTTTCTGTAGTATCTGGAAGTGAACATTAGGACAGCTTTCAGCTCTATGGTGAGAAAGGAAATATCTTCAGATAAAAACTAGACAGAAGCATTCTCATAAACTTGTTTGTGATGTGTGAACTCAGCTAACAGAGGTGGATCTTTCTTTTGATAGAGCAGTTCTGAAAAACACTTTTTGTGGAATCTGCAAGTGGACATTTGAATAGATTTGAAGATTTCGTTGGAAACGGGAATATCTTCATATCAAATCTAGACAGAAGCATTCTCAGAAACGTCGTTGTGATGTTTGCATTCAACTCATAGAGTTGAACATTCCGTTTCAGAGAGCAGCTTTGAGGCACTCTTTTTGTAGTATGTGCAAGTGGATATTTGGAGCGCTCTGAGGCCTACGGTGAAAAAGCAAATATCTTCCCATAACCACTAGACAGAAACATTCTCAGAAACTCCTTTATGACGTATGTACTCAACTAACAGAGAAGAACCTTCCTTTTGACAGAGCAGTTTTGATGCACTCTTTTTGTAGAATCTGCAAGTGGATATTTGGATAGCTGTGAAGATTTCGTTGGAAACGGGAATATCTTCCTATAAAATCTAGACAGAAGCATTCTCAGAAACAGCTCTGTGATGTCTGCATTCAAGTCACAGAGTTGAACATTGCCTTTCATAGAGCCGGTTTGAAACGCTCTTTTTGTAGTATATAAAAGTGGACGTTTCGGACGGTTTGAGGCCCATGGTGATAAAGGGAATATCTTCCCCTACAAGCTAGAAAGAAGCATTCTGTGAAACTTGTTTGTGATGTGTGTACTCAACTAACAGAGTTGAACCTTTCTTTTTACAGAGCAGTTTTGAAACACTCTTTTTGTAGAATCTGCGAGGGGATATATGGATAGATTTCAGGATTTCGTTGGAAACGGGAATATCTTCATATAAAATCTCGACAGAAGCATTCTCAGAAACTTCTTTGTGATATCTGCATTCAAGTCACAGAGTTGAATATTCCCTTTCACAGTGTAGGTTTGAAACACTCTTTTGTAGTATCTGGAAGTGTACATTTGGAGCGCCTTGACGCCTACGGTGAAAAGGGAAATATCTTCCCATAAAAACTAGACAGAAGCAATCTCAGAATCTTCTTTGGGATATATGCACGCAGCTAACAGAGTTGAACCTTTCTATTGACAGAGCAGTTTTGAAACAGTCTTTCTCTGGAATCTGCATGTGGATATTTGGATAGCTTGGAGGATTTCGTTGGAAACGGGATTACGTATAAAAAGTAGACAGCAGCATCCTCAGAAACTTCTTTGTGATGTGTGCATTCAAGTCACAGAGTTGAACATTCCCTTTCGTACAGCAGTTTTGAAACACTCTTTCTGTAGCATATGGAAGTGAACATTAGAACAGCTTTCAGATCTATGGTGAGAAAGGAAATATCTTCAAATAAAAACTAGACAGAAGCATTCTCATAAACTTGTTTGTGATGTGAGAACTCAGCTAACAGAGGTGGATGTTTCTTTTGATAGAGCAGTTCTGAAAAACACTTTTTGTTGAATCTGCAAGTGGACATTTGGATAGATTTGAAGATTTCGTTGGAAACGGGAATATCTTCATATCAAATCTAGACAGAAGCATTCTCAGAAACGTCGTTGTGATGTTTGCATTCAACTCATAGAGTTGAACATTCCGTTTCAGAGAGCAGCTTTGAGGCACTCTTTTTGTAGTATGTGCAAGTGGATATTTGGAGCGCTCTGAGGCCTTCGGTGAAAAAGCAAATATCTTCCCATAACCACTAGACAGAAACATTCTCAGAAACTCCTGTATGACGTATGCACTCACCTAACAGAGAAGAACCTTCCTTTTGACAGAGCAGTTTTGATACACTCTTTTTGTAGGATCTGCAAGTGGATATTTGGATAGCTGTGAAGATTTCGTTGGAAACGGGAATATCTTCCTATAAAATCTAGACAGAAGCATTCTCAGAAACTGCTCTGTGATGTCTGCATTCAAGTCACAGAGTTGAACATTGCCTTTCATAGAGCAGGTTTGAAACGCTCTTTTTGTAGTATATGGAAGTGGATGTTTCGGACGGTTGGAGGCCCGTGGTGATAAAGGGAATATCTTCCCCTACAAGCTAGAAAGAAACATTCTGTGAAACTTGTTTGTGATGTGTGTACTCAACTAACAGAGTTGAACCTTTCTTTTTACAGAGCAGTTTTGAAACACTCTTTTTGTAGAATCTGCGAGGGGATATTTGGATAGATTTCAGGATTTCGTTGGAAACGGGAGTATCTTCACATAAAATCTCGACAGAAGCATTCTCAGAAACTTCTTTGTGATATGTGCATTCAAGTCACAGAGTTGAATATTCCCTTTCACAGAGTAGGTTTGAAACACTCTTTTTGTAGTATCTGGAAGTGGACATTTGGAGCGCCTTGACACCTACGGTGAAAAGGGAAATATCTTCCCATAAAAATTAGACAGAAGCAATCTCAGAATCTTCTTTGGGATATATGCACGCAGCTAACAGAGTTGAACCTTTCTATTGACAGAGCAGTTTTGAAACAGTCTTTCTGTGGAATCTGCAAGTGGATATTTGGATAGCTTGGAGGATTTCGTTGGAAACGGGATTACGTATACAAAGTAGCCAGCAGCATCCTCAGAAACTTCTTTGTGATGTGTGCATTCAAGTCACAGAGTTGAACATTCCTTTTCGTACAGCAGTTTTGAAACACTCTTTCTGTAGTAACTGGAAGTGAACATTAGGACAGCTTTCAGCTCTATGGTGAAAAAGGAAATATCTTCAAATAAAAACTAGACAGAAGCATTCTCATAAACTTGTTTGTGATGTCTGAACTCAGCTAACAGAGGTGGATCTTTCTTCTGATAGAGCAGTACTAAAAACGCTTTTTGTTGAATCTGCAAGTGGACATTTGGATAGATTTGAAGATTTCGTTGGAAACGGGAATATCTTCATATCAAATCTAGACAGAAGCATTCTCAGAAACGTCTTTGTGATGTTTGCATTCAACTCATAGAGTTGAACATTCCGTTTCAAAGAGCAGCTTTGAGGCACTCTTTTTGTAGTATGTGCAAGTGGATATTTGGAGCGCTCTGAGGCCTAAGGTGAAAAAGCAAATATCTTCCCATAACCACTAGACAGAAACATTCTCAGAAACTTCTTTATGACGTATGTACTCAAGTAGCAGAGAAGAACTTTCCTTTTGACAGAGCATTTTTGATACATTCTTTTTCTAGTATCTGCAAGTGGATATTTGGATAGCTGTGAAGATTTCGTTGGAAACGGGAATATCTTCCTATAAAGTCTGGACAGAAGCATTCTCAGTAAACTGCTCTGTGATGTCTGCATTCAAGTCACAGAGTTGAACATTGCCTTTCATAGAGCAGGTTTGAAACGCTCTTTTTGTAGTATATGGAAGTGGACGTTTCGGACGGTTTGAGGCCCATGGTGATAAAGGGAATATCTTCCCCTACAAGCTAGAAAGAAGCATTCTGTGAAACTTGTTTGTGATGTGTGTACTCAACTAACAGAGTTGAACCTTTCTTTTTACAGAGCAGTTTTGAAACACTCTTTTTGTAGAATCTGCGAGGGGATATTTGGATAGATTTCAGGATTTCTTTGGAAAGGGGAATATCTTCATATAAAATCTCGACAGAAGCATTCTCAGAAACTTCTTTGTGATATGTGCATTCAAGTCACAGAGTTGAATATTCCCTTTCACAGAGTAGGTTTGAAACACTCCTTTTGTAGTATCTGGAAGTGGACATTTGGAGCGCCTTGACGCCTACGGTGAAAAGGGAAATATCTTCTCATAAAAAGTAGACAGAAGCAATCTCAGAATCTTCTTTGGGATATATGCACGCAGGCTAACAGAGTTGAACCTTTCTATTGACAGAGCAGTTTTGAAACAGTCTTTCTGTGGAATCTGCAAGTGGATATTTGGATAGCTTGGAGGATTTCGTTGGAAACGGGATTACGTATAAAAAGTAGACAGCAGCATCCTCAGAAACTTCTTTGTGATGTGTGCATTCAAGTCACAGAGTTGAACATTCCCTTTCGTACAGCAGTTTTCAAACACTCTTTCTGTAGTATCTGGAAGTGAACATTAGGACAGCTTTCAGCTCTATGGTGAGAAAGGAAATATCTTCAAATAAAAACAAGACAGAAGCATTCTCATTAACTTGTTTGTGATGTGTGAACTCAGCTAACACAGGTGGATCTTTCTTTTGATAGAGCAGTTCTGAAAAACATTTTTTGTTGAATCTGCAAGTGGACATTTGGATAGATTTGAAGATTTCGTTGGAAACGGGAATATCTTCATATCAAATCTAGACAGAAGCATTCTCAGAAACGTCTTTGTGATGTTTGCATTCAACCCATAGAGTTGAACATTCCCTTTCAGAGAGCAGCTTTGAAGCACTCTTTTTGTAGTATGTGCAAGGGGATATTTGGAGCGCTCTGTGGCCTAAGGTGAAAAATCAAATATCTTCCCATAACCACTAGACAGAAACATTCTCAGAAACTCCTTTATGACGTATGCACTCACCTAACAGAGAAGAACCTTCCTTTTGACAGAGCAGTTTTGATACACTCTTTTTGTAGAATCTGCAAGTGGATATTTGGATAGCTGTGAAGATTTCGTTGGAAACGGGAATATCTTCTTATAAAATCTAGACAGAAGCATTCTCAGAAACTGCTCTGTGATGTCTGCATTCAAGTCACAGAGTTGAACATTGCTTTTCCTAGAGCAGGTTTGAAACGCTCTTTTTGTAGTATATGGAAGTGGACGTTTCGGACGGTTTGAGGCCCATGGTGTTAAAGGGAATATCTTTCCCTACAAGCTGGAAAGAAGCATTCTGTGAAACTTGTTTGTGATGTGTGCACTCAACTAACAGAGCCTTTCTTTTTACAGAGCAGTTTTGAAACACTCTTTTTGTAGAATCTGCGAGGGGATATTTGGATAGATTTCAGGATTTCGTTGGAAACGGGAATATCTTCATATAAAATCTCGACAGAAAGCATTCTCAGAAACTTCTTTGTGATATGTGCATTCAAGTCACAGAGTTGAATATTCCCTTTCACAGAGTAGGTTTGAAACACTCTTTTTGTAGTATCTGGAAGTGGACATTTGGAGCGCCTTGACGCCTACGGTGAAAAGGGAAATATCTTCCCATAAAAACTAGACAGAAGCAATCTCAGAATCTTCTTTGGGATATATGCACGCAGCTAACAGAGTTGAACCTTTCTATTGACAGAGCAGTTTTGAAACACTCTTTCTGTGGAATCTGCAAGTGGATATTTGGAGAGCTTGGAGGATTTCGTTGGAAACGGGATTACGTATAAAAAGTAGACAGCAGCATCCTCAGAAACTTCTTTGTGATGTGCGCATTCAAGTCACAGAGTTGAACATTCCCTTTCGTACAGCAGTTTTGAAACACTCTTTCTGTAGTAACTGGAAGTGAACATTAGGACAGCTTTCAGGTCTATGGTGAGAAAGGAAATATCTTCAAATAAAAACTAGACAGAAGCATTCTCATAAACTTGTTTGTGATGTGTGAACTCAGCTAACAGAGGTGGATCTTTCTTTTGATAGAGCAGTTCTGAAAAACACTTTTTGTTGAATCTGCAAGTGGACATTTGGATAGATTTGAAGATTTCGTTGGAACCGGGAATATCTTCATATCAAATCTAGACAGAAGCATTCTCAGAAACGTCTTTGTGATGTTTGCATTCAACTCATAGAGTTGAACATTCCGTTTCAGAGAGCAGCTTTGAGGCACTCTTTTTGTAGTATGTGCAAGTGGATATTTGGAGCGCTCTGAGGCCTACGGGGAAAAAGCAAATATCTTCCCATAACCACTAGACAGAAACATTCTCAGAAACTCCTTTATGATGTATGCACTCACCTAACAGAGAAGAACCTTCCTTTTGACAGAGCAGTTTTGATGCACTCTTTTTGTAGAATCTGCAAGTGGATATTTGGATAGCTGTGAAGATTTCGTTGGAAACAGGGAATATCTTCCTATAAAATCTAGACAGAAGCATTCTCAGAAACTGCTCTGTGATGTCTGCATTCAAGTCACAGAGTTGAACATTGCCTTTCGTAGAGCAGGTTTGAAACGCTCTTTTTGTAGTATATGGAAGTGGATGTTTCGGACGGTTGGAGGCCCATGGTGATAAAGGGAATATCTTCCCCTACAAGCTAGAAAGAAGCATTCTGTGAAACTTGTTTGTGATGTGTATACTCAACTAACAGAGTTGAACCTTTCTTTTTACAGAGCAGTTTAGAAACACTCTTTTTGTAGAATCTGCGAGGGGATATTTGGATAGATTTCAGGATTTCGTTGGAAACGGGAATATCTTCATTTAAAATCTCGACAGAAGCATTCTCAGAAACTTCTTTGTGATATCTGCATTCAAGTCACAGAGTTGAATATTCCCTTTCACAGAGTAGGTTTGAAACACTCTTTTTGTAGTATCTGGAAGTGGACATTTGGAGCACCTTGACACCTACGGTGAAAAGGGAAATATCTTCCGATAAAAACTAGACAGAAGCAATCTCAGAATCTTCTTTGGGATATATGCACGCAGCTAACAGAGTTGAACCTTTCTATTGACAGAGCAGTTTTGAAACAGTCTTTCTGTGGAATCTGCAAGTGGATATTTGGATAGCTTGGAGGATTTCGTTGGAAACGGGATTAAGTATAAAAGGTAGACAGCAGCATCCTCAGAAACTTCTTTGTGATGTGTGCATTCAAGTCACAGAGTTGAACATTCCCTTTCGTACAGCAGTTTTGAAACACTCTTTCTGTAGTATCTGGAAGTGAACATTAGGACAGCTTTGAGGTCTATGGTGAGAAAGGAAATATCTTCAAATAAAAACTAGACAGAAGCATTCTCATAAACTTGTTTGTGATGTGTGAACTCAGCTAACAGAGGTGGATCTTTCTTTTGATAGAGCAGTTCGGAAAAACACTTTTTGTTGAATCTGCAAGTGGACATTTGGATAGATTTGAAGATTTCGTTGGAAACGGGAATAACTTTATATCAAATCTAGACAGTAGCATTCTCAGAAACGTCTTTGTGATGTTTGCATTCAACTCATAGAGTTGAACATTCCCTTCCAGAGAGCAGCTTTGAAGCACTCTTTTTCTAGCATCTGCAAGTGGACATTTGGAGCGCCCTTAGTCCTAAGGGGAAAAAGCAAATATCTTCCCATAACCACTAGACAGAAACATTCTCAGAAACTCCTTTATGACGTATGCACTCACCTAACAGAAAAGAACCTTCCTTTTGACAGAGCAGTTTTGATACACTCTTTTTGTAGAATCTGCAAGTGGATATTTGGATAGCTGTGAAGACTTCGTTGGAAACGGGAATATCTTCCTATAAAATCTAGACAGAAAGCATTCTCAGAAACTGCTCTGTGATGTCTGCATTCAAGTCACAGAGTTGAACATTGCCTTTCCTAGAGCAGGTTTGAAACGCTCTTTTTGTAGTATATGGAAGTGGACGTTTCGGACGGTTTGAGGCCCATGGTGATAAAGGGAATATCTTCCCCTACAAGCTAGAAAGAAGCATTCTGTGAAACTTGTTTGTGATGTGTGTACTCAACTAACAGAGTTGAACCTTTCTTTTTACAGAGCAGTTTTGAAACACTCTTTTTGTAGAATCTGCGAGGGGATATTTGGAGAGATTTCAGGATTTCGTTGGAAACGGGAATATCTTCATATAAAATCTAGACAGAAGCATTATCAGAAACTTCTTTGTGATATCTGCCTTTAAGTCACAGAGTTGAATATTCCCTTTCACAGAGTAGGTTTGAAACACTCTTTTTGTAGTATCTGGAAGTGGACATTTGGAGCGCCTTGACACCTACGGTGAAAAGGGAAATATCTTCCCATAAAAACTAGACAGAAGCAATCTCAGAATCTTCTTTGGGATATATGCACGCAGCTAACAGAGTTGAACCTTTCTATTGACAGAGCAGTTTTGAAACAGTCTTTCTGTGGAATCTGCAAGTGGATATTTGGATAGCTTGGAGGATTTCGTTGGAAATGGGATTACGTATAAAAAGTAGACAGCAGCATCCTCAGAAACTTCTTTGTGATGTGTGCATTCAAGTCACAGAGTTGAACATTCCCTTTCGTACAGCAGTTTTGAAACACTCTTTCTGTAGTATCTGGAAGTGAACATTAGGACAGCTTTCAGGTCTATGGTGAGAATGGAAATATATTCAAATAAAAACTAGACAGAAGCATTCTGATAAACTTGTTTGTGAAGTGTGAACTCAGCTAACGGAGGTGGATCTTTCTTTTGATAGAGCAGTTCTGAAAAACACTTTTTGTTGAATCTGCAAGTGGACATTTGGATAGATTTGAAGATTTCGTTGGAAACGGGAATATCTTCATATCAAATCTAGACAGAAGCATTCTCAGAAACGTCTTTGTGATGTTGGCATTCAACTCATAGAGTTGAAGATTCCCTTTCAGAGAGCAGCTTTGAAGCACTCTTTTTGTAGTATGTGCAAGGGGATATTTGGAGCGCTCTGAGGCCTAAGGTGAAAAAGCAAATATCTTCCCATAACCACTAGACAGAAACATTCTCAGAAACTCCTTTATGACGTATGCACTCACCTAACAGAGAAGAACCTTCCTTTTGACAGAGCAGTTTTGATACACTCTTTTTGTAGAATCTGCGAGGGGATATTTGGATAGCTGTGAAGATTTCGTTGGAAACGGGAATATCTTCCTATAAAATCTAGACAGAAGCATTCTCAGAAACTGCTCTGTGATGTCTGCATTCAAGTCACAGAGTTGAACATTGCCTTTCCTAGAGCAGGTTTGAAACGCTCTTTTTGTAGTATATGGAAGTGGACGTTTCGGACGGTTGGAGGCCCATGGTGATAAAGGGAATATCTTCCCCTACAAGCTAGAAAGAAGCATTCTGTGAAACTTGTTTGTGATGTGTGTACTCAAGTAACAGAGTTGAACCTTTCTTTTTACAGAGCAGTTTTGAAACACTCTTTCTGTAGAATCTGCGAGGGGATATTTGGATAGATTTCAGGATTTCGTTGGAAACGGGAATATCTTCAGATAAAATCTCGACAGAAGCATTCTCAGAAACTTCTTTGTGATATGTGCATTCAAGTCACAGAGTTGAATATTCCCTTTCACAGAGAAGGTTTGAAGCACTCTTTTTGTAATATCTGGAAGTGGACATTTGGAGCGCCTTGACGCCTACGGTGAAAAGGGAAATATCTTCCCATAAAAACTAGACAGAAGCAATCTCAGAATCTTCTTTGGGATATATGCACGCAGCTAACAGAGTTGAACCTTTCCATTGACAGAGCAGTTTTGAAACAGTCTTTCTGTGGAATCTGCAAGTGGATATTTGGATAGCTTGGAGGATTTCGTTGGAAACGGGATTACGTATAAAAAGTAGACAGCAGCATCCTCAGAAACTTCTTTGTGATGTGTGCATTCAAGTCACAGAGTTGAATATTCCCTTTCGTACAGCAGTTTTGAAACACTCTTTCTGTGAAACACTCATCTGGAAGTGAACATTAGGACAGCTTTCAGGTCTATGGTGAGAAAGGAAATATCTTCAAATAAAAACTAGACAGAAGCATTCTCATAAACTTGTTTGTGATGTGTGAACTCAGATAACAGAGGTGGATCTTTCTTTTGATAGAGCAGTTCTGAAAAACACTTTTTGTTGAATCTGCAAGTGGACATTTGGATAGATTTGAAGATTTCGTTGGAAACGGGAATATCTTCATATCAAATCTAGACAGAAGCATTCTCGGAAACGTCTTTGTGATGTTTGCATTCAACTCATAGAGTTGAACATTCCGTTTCAGAGAGCAGCTTTGAAGCACTCTTTTTGTAGTATGTGCAAGTGGATATTTGGAGCGCTCTGAGGCCTACGGTGGAAAAGCAAATATCTTCCCATAACCACTAGACAGAAACATTCTCAGAAACTCCTTTATGACGTATGTACTCAACTAACGGAGAAGAACCTTCCTTTTGACAGAGCATTTTTGATACACTCTTTTTGTAGAATCTGCAAGTGGATATTTGGATAGCTGTGAAGATTTCATTGGAAACGGGAATATCTTCCTATAAAATCTAGACAGAAGCATTCTCAGAAACTGCTCTGTGATGTCTGCATTCAAGTCACAGAGTTGAACATTGCCTTTCTTAGAGCAGGTTTGAAACGCTCTTTTTGTAGTATATGGAAGTGGATGTTTCGGACGGTTGGAGGCCCATGGTGATAAAGGGAATATCTTCCCCTACAAGCTAGAAAGAAGCATTCTGTGAAACTTGTTTGTGATGTGTGTACTCAACTAACAGAGTTGAACCTTTCTTTTCACAGAGCAGTTTTGAAACACTCTTTTTGTAGAATCTGCAAGGGGATATTTGGATAGATTTCAGGATTTCGTTGGAAACGGGAATATCTTCATATAAAATCTCGACAGAATCATTCTCAGAAACTTCTTTGTGATATCTGCATTCAAGTCACAGAGTTGAATATTGCCTTTCACAGAGTAGGTTTGAAACACTCTTTTTGTAGTATCTGGAAGTGGACATTTGGAGCGCCTTGACACCTACGGTGAAAAGGGAAATATCTTCCCATAAAAACTAGACAGAAGCAATCTCAGAATCTTCTTTGGGATATATGCACGCAGCTCACAGAGTTGAACCTTTCTATTGACAGAGCAGTTTTGAAACAGTCTTTCTGTGGAATCTGCAAGTGGATATTTGGATAGCTTGGAGGATTTCGTTGGAAACGGGATTACGTATAAAAAGTAGACAGCAGCATCCTCAGAAACTTCTTTGTGATGTGTGCATTCAAGTCACAGAGTTGAACATTCCCTTTCGTACAGCAGTTTTGAAACACTCTTTCTGTAGTATCTGGAAGTGAACATTAGGACAGGTTTCAGGTCTATGGTGAGAAAGGAAATATCTTCAAATAAAAACTAGACAGAAGCATTCTCATAAACTTGTTCGTGATGTGTGAACTCAGCTAACACACGTGGATCTTTCTTTTGATAGAGCAGTTCTGAAAAACACTTTTTGTTGAATCTGCAAGAGGACATTTGGATAGATTTGAAGATTTCTTTGGAAACGGGAATATCTTCATATCAAATCTAGACAGAAGCATTCTCAGAAACGTCTTTGTGATGTTTGCATTCAACTCATAGAGTTGAACATTCCGTTTCAGAGAGCAGCTTTGAAGCACTCTTTTTGTAGTATGTGCAAGTGGATATTTGGAGCGCTCTGAGTCCTACGGGGAAAAAACAAATATCTTCCCATAACCACTAGACTGAAACATTCTCAGAAACTCCTTTATGACGTATGCACTCACCTAACAGAGAAGAACCTTCCTTTTGGCAGAGCAGTTTTGATACACTCTTTTTGTAGAATCTGCAAGTGGATATTTGGATAGCTGTGAAGGTTTCGTTGGAAACGGGAATATCTTCCTATAAAATCTAGACAGAAGCATTCTCAGAAACTGCTCTGTGATGTCTGCATTCAAGTCACAGAGTTGAACATTCCCTTTCCTAGAGCAGGTTTGAAACGCTCTTTTTGTAGTATATTGAAGTGGACCTTTCGGATGGTTTGAGGCCCATGGTGATAAAGGGAATATCTTCCCCTACAAGCTAGAAAGAAGCATTCTGTGAAACTTGTTTGTGATGTGTGTACTCAACTAACAGAGTTGAACCTTTCTTTTTACAGAGCAGTTTTGAAACACTCTTTTTGTAGAATCTGTGAGGGGATATTTGGATAGATTTGAGGATTTCGTTGGGAACGGGAATATCTTCATATAAAATCTCGACAGAAGCATTCTCAGAAACTTCTTTGTGATATCTGCCTTTAAGTCACAGAGTTGAATATTCCCTTTCATAGAGTAGGTTTGAAACACTCTTTTTGTAGTATCTGGAAGTGGACATTTGGAGCGCCTTGACACCTACGGTGAAAAGGGAAATATCTTCCCATAAAAACTAGACAGAAGCAATCTCAGAATCTTCTTTGGGATATATGCACGCAGTTAACAGAGTTGAACCTTTCTATTGACAGAGCAGTTTTGAAACAGTCTTTCTGTGGAATCTGCAAGTGGATATTTGGATAGCTTGGAGGATTTCGTTGGAAACGGGATTACGTATAAAACGTAGACAGCAGCATCCTCAGAAACTTCTTTCTGATGTGTGCATTCAAGTCACAGAGTTGAACATTCCCTTTCGTACAGCAGTTTTGAAACACTCTTTCTGTAGTATCTGGAAGTGAACATTAGGACAGCTTTCAGGTCTATGGTGAGAAAGGAAATATCTTCAAATAAAAACTAGACAGAAGCATTCTCATAAAGTTGTTTGTGAGGTGTGAACTCAGCTAACAGAGGTGGATCTTTCTTTTGATAGAGCAGTTCTGAAAAACACTTTTTGTTGAATCTGCAAGTGGACATTTGGATAGATTTGAAGATTTCGTTGGAAACGGGAATATCTTCATATCAAATCTAGACAGAAGCATTCTCAGAAACGTCTTTGTGTTGTTTGCATTCAACTCATAGAGTTGAACATTCCCTTTCAGAGAGCAGCTTTGAAGCACTCTTTTTGTAGCATGTGCAAGTGGACATTTGGAGCGCTCTGAGGCCTACGGGGAAAAAGCAAATATCTTCCCATAACCACTAGACAGAAACATTCTCAGAAACTTCTTTATAACGTATGTACTCAACTAGCAGAGAAGAACTTTCCTTTTGACAGAGCATTTTTGATACACTCTTTTGTAGTATCTGCAAGTGGATATTTGGATAGCTGTGAAGATTTCGTTGGAAACGGGAATATCTTCCTATAAAGTCTGGACAGAAGCATTCTCAGAAACTGCTCTGTGATGTCTGCATTCAAGTCACAGAGTTGAACATTGCCTTTCCTAGAGCAGGTTTGAAACGCTCTTTTTGTAGTATATGGAAGGTGGACGTTTCGGACGGTTTGAGGCCCATGGTGATAAAGGGAATATCTTCCCCTACAAGCTAGAAAGAAGCATTCTCTGAAACTTGTTTGTGATGTGTGTACTCAACTAACAGAGTTGAACCTTTCTTTTTACAGAGCAGTTTTGAAACACTCTTTTTGTAGAATCTGCGAGGGGATATTTGGATAGATTTCAGGATTTCGTTGGAAACGGGAATATCTTCATATAAAATCTCGACAGAAGCATTCTCAGAAACTTCTTTGTGATATCTGCATTCCAGTCACAGAGTTGAATATTCTCTTTCACAGAGTAGTTTTGAAACACTCTTTTTATAGTATCTGGAATTGGACATTTGGAGCGCCTTGACGCCTACGGTGAAAAGGGAAATATCTTCCCATAAAAACTAGACAGAAGCAATCTCAGAATCTTCTTTGGGATATATGTACGCAGCTAACAGTAGTTGAACCTTTCTATTGACAGACCCGTTTTGAAACAGTCTTTCTGTGGAATCTGCAAGTGGATATTTGGATAGCTTGGAGGATTTCTTTGGAAACGGGATTACGTATAAAAAGTAGACAGCAGCATCCTCAGAAACTTCTTTGTGATGTGTGCATTCAAGTCACAGAGTTGAACATTCCCTTTCGTACAGCAGTTTTGAAACACTCTTTCTGTAGTATCTGGAAGTGAACATTAGGACAGCTTTCAGGTCTATGGTGAGAAAGGAAAGATCTTCAAATAAAAACTAGACAGAAGCTTTCTCATAAACTTGTTTGTGATGTGTGAACTCAGCTAACAGAGGTGGATCTTTCTTTTGATACAGCAGTTTTGAAAAACACTTTTTGTTGAATCTGCAAGTGGACATTTGGATAGATTTGAAGATTTCGTTGGAAACGGGAATATCTTCATATCAAATCTAGACAGAAGCATTCTCAGAAACGTCTTTGTGATGTTTGCATTCAACCCATAGAGTTGAACATTCCGTTTCAGAGAGCAGCTTTGAGGCACTCTTTTTGTAGTATGTGCAAGTGGATATTTGGTGCGCTGTGAGGCCTACGGTGAAAAAGCAAATATCTTCCCATAACCACTAGACAGAAACATTCTCAGAAACTCCTTTATGACGTATGCACTCACCTAACAGAGAAGAACCTTCCTTTTGACAGAGCAGTTTTGATACACTCTTTTTGTAGAATCTGCAAGTGGATATTTGGATAGCTGTGAAGATTTCGTAGGAAACGGGAATATCTTCCTATAAAATCTAGACAGAAGCATTCTCAGAAACTACTCTGTGATGTCTGCATTCAAGTCACAGAGTTGAACATTGCCTTTCCTAGAGCAGGTTTGAAACGCTCTTTTTGTAGTATATGGAAGTGGACGTTTCGGACGCTTTGAGGCCCATGGTGATAAAGGGAATATCTTCCCCTACAAGCTAGAAAGAAGCATTCTGTGAAACTTGTTTGTGATGTGTGTACTCAACTAACAGAGTTGAACCTTCCTTTTTAGAGAGCAGTTTTGAAACACTCTTTTTGTAGAATCTGCGAGGGGATATTTGGATAGATTTCAGGATTTCGTTGGAAACGGGAATATCTTCATATAAAATCTCGACAGAAGCATTCTCAGAAACTTCCTTGTGATATGTGCATTCAAGTCACAGAGTTGAATATTCCCTTTCACAGAGTAGGTTTGAAACACTCTTTTTGTAGTATCTGGAAGTGGACATTTGGAGCGCCTTGACGCCCACGGTGAAAAGGGAAATATCTTCCCATCAAAACTAGACAGAAGCAATCTCAGAATCTTCTTTGGGATATATGCACGCAGCTAACAGAGTTGAACCTTTCTATTGACAGAGCAGTTTTGAAACAGTCTTTCTGTGGAATCTGCAAGTGGATATTTGGATAGCTTGGAGGATTTCGTTGGAAACGGGATTACGCATAAAAAGTAGACAGCAGCGTCCTCAGGAACTTCTTTGTGATGTGTGCATTCAAGTCACAGAGTTGAACATTCCCTTCCGTACAGCAGTTTTGAAACACTCTTTCTGTAGTATCTGGAAGTGAACATTAGGACAGCTTTCAGGTCTATGGTGAGAAAGGAAATATCTTCAAATAAAAACTAGACAGAAGCATTCTCATAAACTTGTTTGTGATGTGTGAACTCATCTAACAGAGGTGGATCTTTCTTTTGATAGAGCAGTTCTGAAAAACACTTTTTGTTGAATCTGCAAGTGGACATTTGGATAGATTTGAAGATTTCGTTGGAAACGGGAATATCTTCATATCAAATCTAGACAGAAGCATTCTCGGAAACGTCTTTGTGATGTTTGCATTCAACTCATAGAGTTGAACATTACGTTTCAGAGAGCAGCTTTGAAGCACTCTTTTTGTAGTATGTGCAAGTGGATATTTGGAGCGCTCTGAGGCCTACGGTGAAAAAGCAAATATCTTCCCATAACCACTAGACAGAAACATTCTCAGAAACTCCTTTATGACGTATGCACTCACCTAACGGAGAAGAACCTTCCTTTTGACAGAGCACTTTTGATACACTCTTTTTGTAGAATCTGCAAGTGGATATTTGGATAGCTGTGAAGATTTCGTTGGAAACGGGAATATCTTCTTATAAATTCTAGACAGAAGCATTCTCAGAAACTGCTCTGTGATGTCTGCATTCAAGTCACAGAGTTGAACATTGCCTTTCATAGAGCAGGTTTGAAATGCTCTTTTTGTAGTATATGGAACTGGATGTTTCGGAAGGTTGGAGGCCCATGGTGATAAAGGGAATATCTTCCCCTACAAGCTAAAAAGAAGCATTCTGTGAAACTTGTTTGTGATGTGTGTACTCAACTAACAGAGTTGAACCTTTCTTTTTACAGAGCAGTTTTGAAACACTCTTTTTGTAGAATCTGCGAGGGGATAATTGGATAGATTTCAGGATTTCGTTGGAAACGGGAATATCTTCATATAAAATCTCGACAGAAGCATTCTCAGAAACTTCTTTGTGATATGTGCATTCAAGTCACAGAGTTGAATATTCCCTTTCACAGAGTAGGTTTGAAACACTCTTTTTGTAGTATCTGGAAGTTGACATTTGGAGCGCCTTGACACCTACGGTGAAAAGGGAAATATCTTCCCATAAAAACTAGACAGAAGCAATCTCAGAATCTTCTTTGGGATATATGCACGCAGCTAATAGAGTTGAACTTTTCTATTGACAGAGCAGATTTGAAACAGTCTTTCTGTGGAATCTGCAAGTGGATATTTGGATAGCCTGGAGGATTACGTTGGAAACGGGATTACGTATAAAAAGTAGACAGCAGCATCCTCAGAAACTTCTTTGTGATGTGTGCATTCAAGTCACAGAGTTGAACATTCCCTTTCGTACAGCAGTTTCGAAACACTCTTTCTGTAGTATCTGGAAGTGAACATTAGGACAGCTTTCAGGTCTATGGTGAGAAAGGAAATATCTTCAAATAAAAACTAGACAGAAGAATTCTGATAAACTTGTTTGTGAAGTGTGAACTCAGATAACACAAGTGGATCTTTCTTTTGATACAGCAGTTTTGAAAAACACTTTGTTGAATCTGCAAGTGGACATTTGGATAGATTTGAAGATTTCGTTGGAAACGGGTATATCTTCATAACAAATCTAGACAGAAGCATTCTCAGAAACGTCTTTGTCATGTTTGCATTCAACTCATAGAGTTGAACATTCCGTTTCAGAGAGCAGCTTTGAAACACTCTTTTTGTAGTATGTGCAAGTGGATATTTGGAGCGCTCTGAGGCCTACGGTGAAAAAGCAAATATCTTCCCATAACCACTAGACAGAAACATTCTCAGAAACTCCTTTATGACGTATGCACTCACCTAACAGAGAAGAACCTTCCTTTTGACAGAGCAGTTTTGATACACTCTTTTTGTAGAATCTGCAAGTGGATATTTGGATAGCTGTGAAGATTTCGTTGCAAACGGGAATATCTTCCTATAAAATCTAGACAGAAGCATTCTCAGAAACTGCTCTGTGATGTCTGCATTCAAGTCACAGAGTTGAACATTGCCTTTCATAGAGCAGGTTTGAAACGCTCTTTTTGTAGTATATGGAAGTGGACGTTTCGGACGGTTTGAGGCCCATGGTGTTAAAGGGAATATCTCCCCTACAAGCTAGAAAGAAGCATTCTGTGAAACTTGTTTGTGATGTGTGTACTCAACTAATAGAGTTGAACCTTTCTTTTTACAGAGCAGTTTTGAAACACTCTTTTTGTAGAATCTGCGAGGGGATATTTGGATAGATTTCAGGATTTCGTTGGAAACGGGAATATCTTCATAGAAAATCTCGATAGAAGCATTCTCAGAAACTTCTTTGTGATATCTGCATTCAAATCACAGAGTTGAATATTCCCTTTCACAGAGTAGGTTTGAAACACTCTTTTTGTAGTATCTGGAAGTGGACATTTGGAGCGCTTTGACGCCTACGGTGAAAAGGGAAATATCTTCCCATAAAAACTAGACAGAAGCAATCTCAGAATCTTCTTTGGGATATATGCACGCAGCTAACAGAGTTGAACCTTTCTATTGACAGAGCAGTTTTGAAACAGTCTTTCTGTGGAATCTGCAAGTGGATATTGGATAGCTTGGAGGATTTCGTTGGAAACGGGATTACGTATAAAAAGTAGAACAGCAGCATCCTCAGAAACTTCTTTGTGATGTGTGCATTCAAGTCACAGAGTTGAACATTCCCTTTCGTACAGCAGTTTTGAAACACTCTTTCTGTAGTATCTGGAAGTGAACATTAGGACAGCTTTCAGGTCTATGGTGAGAAAAGAAATATCTTCAAATAAAAACCAGACAGAAACATTCTCATAAACTTGTTTGTGATGTGTGAACTCAGCTAACACAGGTGGATCTTTCTTTTGATAGAGCAGTTCTGAAAAACACTTTTTGTTGAATCTGCAAGTGGACATTTGGATAGATTTGAAGATTTCGTTGGAAACTGGAATATCGTCATATCAAATCTAGACAGAAGCATTCTCGGAAACGTCTTTGTCATGTTTGCATTCAACTCATAGAGTTGAACATTCCGTTTCAGAGAGCAGCTTTGAAGCACTCTTTTTATAGTATCTGCAAGGGGATATTTGGAGTGCTCTGAGGCCTAAGGTGAAAAAGCAAATATCTTCCCATAACCACTAGACAGAAACATTCTCAGAAACTCCTTTATGACGTATGTACTCAACTAACAGAGAAGAACCTTCCTTTTGACAGAGCAGTTTGAATACACTCTTTTTGTAGAATCTGCAAGTGGATATTTGGATAGCTGTGAAGATTTCGTTGGAAACGGGAATATCTTCCTATAAAATCTATACAGAAGCATTCTCAGCAAACTGCTCTGTGATGTCTGCATTCAAGTCACAGAGTTGAACATTGCTTTTCATAGAGCAGGTTTGAAACGCTCTTTTTGTAGTATATGGAAGTAGACGTTTCGGACGGTTTGAGGCCCATGGTGATAAACGGAATATCTTCCCCTACAAGCTAGAAAGAAGCATTGTGTGAAACTTGTTTGTGATGTGTGTACTCAATTAACAGAGCTGAACCTTTCTTTTTACAGAGCAGTTTTGAAACACTCTTTTTGTAGAATCTGCGAGGGGATATTTGGATACATTTCAGAATTTCGTTGGAAACGGGAATATCTTCATATAAAATCTCGACAGAAGCATTCTCAGAAACTTCTTTGTGATATGTGCATTCAAGTCACAGAGTTGAATATTCCCTTTCACAGAGTAGGTTTGAAACACTCTTTTTGTAGTATCTGGAAGTGGATATTTGGAGCGCCTTGACACCTACGGTGAAAAGGGAAATATCTTCCCATAAAAACTAGACAGAAAGCAATCTCAGAATCTTCTTTGGGATATATGCACGCAGCTAACAGAGTTGAACCTTTCTATTGACAGAGCAGGTTTGAAACAGTCTTTCTGTGGAATCTGCAAGTGGATATTTGGATAGCTTGGAGGATTTCGTTGGAAACGGGATTACGTATAAAAAGTAGACAGCAGCATCCTCAGAAACTTCTTTGTGATGTGTGCATTCAAGTCACAGAGTTGAACATTCCCTTTCGTACAGCAGTTTTGAAACACTCTTTCTGTAGTATCTGGAATTGAACATTAGGACAGCTTTCAGGTCTATGGTGAGAAAGGAAATATCTTCAAATAAAAACTAGACAGAAGCATTCTGATAAACTTGTTTGTGAAGTGTGAACTCAGCTAACAGAGGTGGATGTTTCTTTTGATACAGCAGTTTTGAAAAACACTTTGTTGAATCTGCAAGTGGACATTTGGATAGATTTGAAGATTTCGTTGGAAACGGGAATATCTTCATATCAAATCTAGACAGAAGCATTCTCAGAAACGTCTTTGTGATGTTTGCATTCAACTCATAGGGTTGAACATTCCCTTTCAGAGAGCAGCTTTGAAGCACTCTTTTTGTAGCATGTGCAAGTGGACATTTGGAGCGCCCTGAGGCCTACGGGGAAAAAGCAAATATCTTCCCATAACCACTAGACAGAAACATTCTCAGAAATTTCTTTATGACGAATGTACTCAACTAGCAGAGAAGAGCTTTCCTTTTGACAGAGCATTTTTGATACACTTTTTTAGTATCTGCAAGTGGATATTTGAATAGCTGTGAAGATTTCGTTGGAAACGGGAATATCTTCCTATAAACTCTGGACAGAAGCATTCTCAGAAACTGCTCTGTGATGTCTGCATTCAAGTCACAGAGTTGAACATTGCCGTTCATAGAGCAGGTTTGAAACACTCTTTTTGTAGTATATGGAAGTGGACGTTTCGGACGGTTTGAGGCCCATGGTGATAAAGGGAATATCTTCCCCTACAAGCTAGAAAGAAGCATTCTGTGAAACTTGTTTGTGATGTGTGTACTCAACTAACAGAGTTGAACCTTTCTTTTTACAGAGCAGTTTTGAAACACTCTTTTTGTAGAATCTGCGAGGGCATATTTGGATAGATTTCAGAATTTCGTTGGAAAGGGGATTATCTTCATATAAAATCTCGACAGAAGCATTCTCAGAAACTTCTTTGTGATATCTCCATTCAAGTCACAGAGTTGAATATTCCCTTTCACAGAGTAGGTTTGAAACACTCTTTTTGTAGTATCTGGAAGTGGACATTTGGAGCGCCTTGACGCCTACGGTGAAAAGGGAAATATCTTCCCATAAAAACTAGACAGAAGCAATCTCAGAATCTTCTTTGGGATATATGCACGCAGCTAACAGAGTTGAACCTTTCTATTGACAGAGCAGTTTTGAAACAGTCTTTCTGTGGAATCTGCAAGTGGATATTTGGATAGATTGGAGGATTTCGTTGGAAACGGGATTATGTATAAAAAGTAGACAGCAGCATCCTCAGAAACTTATTTGTGATGTGTGCATTCAAGTCACAGAGTTGAACATTCCCTTTCATACAGCAGTTTTGAAACACTCTTTCTGTAGTATCTGGAAGTGAACATTAGGACAGCTTTCAGGTCTATGGTGAGAAAGGAAATATCTTCAAATAAAAACTAGACAGAAGCATTCTCATAAACTTGTTCGTGATGTGTGAACTCAGCTAACACACGTGGATCTTTCTTTTGATAGAGCAGTTCTGAAAAACACTTTTTGTTGAATCTGCAAGAGGACAGTTGGATAGATTTGAAGGTTTCGTTGGAAACGGGAATATCTTCATATCAAATCTAGACAGAAGCATTCTCAGAAACGTCTTTGCGATGTTTGCATTCAACTCATAGAGTTGCACATTCCGTTTCAGAGAGCAGCTTTGAGGCACTCTTTTTGTAGTATGTGCAAGTGGATATTTGGAGCGCTCTGAGGCCTACGGTGAAAAAGCAAATATCTTCCCATAACCACTAGACAGAAACATTCTCAGAAACTCCTTTATGACGTATGTACTCAACTAACAGAGAAGAACCTTCCTTTTGACAGAGCATTTTTGATACACTCTTTTTGTAGAATCTGCAAGTGGATATTTGGATAGCTGTGAAGATTTCGTTGGAAACGGGAATATCTTCCTATAAAATCTAGACAGAAGCATTCTCAGAAACTGCTCTGTGATGTCTGCATTCAAGTCACGGAGTTGAACATTGCCTTTCATAGAGCAGGTTTGAAACGCTCTTTTTGTAGTATATGGAAGTGGACTTATCGGACGGTTTGAGGCCCATGGTGATAAAGGGAATATCTTCCCCTACAAGCTAGAAAGAAGCATTCTGTGAAACTTGTTTGTGATGTGTGTACTCAACTAACAGAGTTGAACCTTTCTTTTCACAGAGCAGTTTTGAAACACTCTTTTTGTAGAATCTGCGAGCGGATATTTGGATAGATTTCAGGATTTCGTTGGAAACGGGAATATCTTCATATAAAATCTCGACGGAAGCATTCTCAGAAACTTCCTTCTGATATGTGCATTCAAGTCACAGAGTTGAATATTCCCTTTCACAGAGTAGGTTTGAAACACTCGTTTTGTAGTATCTGGAAGTGGACATTTGGAGCGCCTTGACGCCTACGGTGAAAAGGGAAATATCTTCCCATAAAAACTAGACAGAAGCAATCTCAGAATCTTCTTTGGGATATATGCACGCAGCTAACAGAGTTGAACCTTTCTATTGACAGAGCAGTTTTGAAACAGTCTTTCTGTGGAATCTGGAAGTGGATATTTGGATAGCTTGGAGGATTTCGTTGGAAACGGGATTACGTATAAAAAGTAGACAGCAGCATCCTCAGAAACTTCTTTGTGATGTGTGCATTCAAGTCACAGAGTTGAACATTCCCTTTCGTACAGCAGTTTTTAAACACTCTTTCTGTAGTATCTGGAAGTGAACATTAGGACAGCTTTCAGGTCTATGGTGAGAAAGGAAATATCTTCAAATAAAAACTAGACAGAAGCATTCTCATAAACATGTTTGCGATGTCTGAACTCAGCTAACAGAGGTGGATCTTTCTTTTGATAGAGCAGTTCTGAAAAACACTTTTTGTTGAATCTGCAAGTGGACATTTGGATAGATTTGAAGATTTCGTTGGAAACGGGAATATCTTCATATCAAATCTAGACAGAAGCATTCTCAGAAACGTCTTTGCGATGTTTGCATTCAACTCATAGAGTTGAACATTCCGTTTCAGAGAGCAGCTTTGAGGCACTCTTTTTGTAGTATGTGCAAGTGGATATTTGGAGCGCTCTGAGGCCTTCGGTGAAAAAGCAAATATCTTCCCATAACCACTAGATGGAAACATTCTCAGAAACTCCTTTATGACGGTATGTACTCACCTAACAGAGAAGAACCTTCCTTTTGACAGAGCAGTTTTGATACACTCTTTTTGTAGAATCTGCAAGTGGATATTTGGATAGCTGTGAAGATTTCGTTGGAAACGGGAATATCTTCCTATAAAATCTAGACAGAAGCATTCTCAGAAACTGCTCTGTGATGTCTGCATTCAAGTCACAGAGTTGAACATTGCCTTTCATAGAGCAGGTTTGAAACGCTCTTTTTGTAGTATATGGAAGTGGACTTATCGGACGGTTTGAGGCCCATTGTGATAAAGGGAATATCTTCCCCTACAAGCTAGAAAGAAGCATTCTGTGAAACTTGTTTGTGATGTGTGTACTCAACTAACAGAGTTGAACCTTTCTTTTTACAGAGCAGTTTTGAAACACTCTTTTTGTAGAATCTGCGAGGGGATATTTGGAGAGATTTCAGGATTTCGTTGGAAACGGGAATATCTTCATATAAATTCTCGACAGAAGCATTCTCAGAAACTTCCTTGTGATATGTGCATTCAAGTCACAGAGTTGAATATTCCCTTTCACAGAGTAGGTTTGAAACACTCTTTTTGTAGTATCTGGAAGTGGACATTTGGAGCGCCTTGACGCCTACGGTGAAAAAGGAAATATCTTCCCATAAAAACTAGACAGAAGCCATCTCAGAATCTTCTTGGGATATATGCACGCAGCTAACAGAGTTGAACCTTTCTATTGACAGAGCAGTTTTGAAACAGTCTTTCTGTGGAATCTGCAAGTGGATATTTGGATAGCTTGGAGGATTTCGTTGGAAACGGGATTACGTATAAAAAGTAGACAGCAGCATCCTCAGAAACTTCTTTGTGATGTGTGCATTCAAGTCACAGAGTTGAACATTCCGTTTCGTACATTAGTTTTGAAACACTCTTTCTGTAGTATCTGGAAGTAAACATTACGACAGCTTTCAGGTCTATGGTGAGAAAAGAAATATCTTCAAATAAAAACTAGACAGAAGCATTCTCATAAACTTGTTTGTGATGTGTGAACTCAGCTAACAGAGGTGGATCTTTCTTTTGATAGAGCAGTTCTGAAAAACTCTTTTTGTTGAATCTGCAAGTGGACATTTGGATAGATTTGAAGATTTCGTTGGAAACGGGAATATCTTCATATCAAATCTAGACAGAGGCATTCTCAGAAACGTCTTTGTGATGTTTGCATTCAACTCATAGAGTTGAACATTCCGTTTCAGAGAGCAGCTTTGAGGCACTCTTTTTGTAGTATGTGCAAGTGGATATTTGGAGCGCTCTGAGGCCTACGGTGAAAAAGCAAATATCTTCCCATAACCACTAGACAGAAACATTCTCAGAAACTCCTTTATGACGTATGCACTCACCTAACAGAAAGGAACCTTCCTTTTGACAGAGCAGTTTTGATACACTCTTTTTGTAGAATCTGCAAGTGGATATTTGGATAGCTGTGAAGATTTCGTTGGAAACGGGAATATCTTCCTATAAAATCTAGACAGAAGCATTCTCAGAAACTGCTCTGTGATGTCTGCATTCAAGTCACAGAGTTGAACATTGCCTTTCATAGAGCAGGTTTGAAACGCTCTTTTTGTAGTATATGGAAGTGGACTTTTCGGACGGTTTGAGGCCCATGGTGATAAAGGGTATATCTTCCCCTACAAGCTAGAAAGAAGCATTCTGTGAAACTTGTTTGTGATGTGTGTACTCAACTAACAGAGTTGAACCTTTCTTTTTACAGAGCAGTTTTGAAACACGCTTTTTGTAGAATCTGCGAGGGGATATTTGGATAGATTTCAGGATTTCGTTGGAAAGGGGAATATCTTCATATAAAATCTCGACAGAAGCATTCTCAGAAACTTCTTTGTGATATGTGCATTCAAGTCACAGAGTTGAATGTTCCCTTTCACAGAGTAGGTTTGAAACACTCTTTTTGTAGTATCTGGAAGTGGACATTTGGAGCGCCTTGACACCTACGGTGAAAAGGGAAATATCTTCCCATAAAAACTAGACAGAAGCAATCTCAGAATCTTCTTTGGGATATATGCACGCAGCTAACAGAGTTGAACCTTTCTATTGACAGAGCAGTTTTGAAACAGTCTTTCTGTGGAATCTGCAAGTGGATATTTGGATAGCTTGGAGGATTTCGTTGGAAACGGGATTAGGTATAAAAGTAGACAGCAAGCATTCTCATAAACTTGTTTGTGATGTGTGAACTCAACTAACACACGTGGATCTTTCTTTTGATAGAGCAGTTCTGAAAAACACTTTTTGTTGAATCTGCAAGTGGACATTTGGATAGATTTGAAGATTTCGTTGGAAACGGGAATATCTTCATATCAAATCTAGACAGAAGCATTCTCATAAACTTGTTTGTGATGTGTGAACTCAGCTAACACACGTGGATCTTTCTTTTGATAGAGCAGTTCTGAAAAACACTTTTTGTTGAATCTGCAAGTGGACATTTGGATAGATTTGAAGATTTCTTTGGAAACGGGAATATCTTCATATCAAATCTAGACAGAAGCATTCTCAGAAACGTCTTTGTGATGTTTGCATTCAACTCTTAGAGTTGAACATTCCCTTTCAGAGAGCAGCTTTGAAGCACTCTTTTTGTAGTATGTGCAAGGGGATATTTGGAGCGCTCTGAGGCCTACGGTGAAAAAGCAAATATCTTCCCATAACCACTAGACAGAAACATTCTCAGAAACTTCTTTATGACGTATGTACTCAACTAGCAGAGAAGAACTTTCCTTTTGATAGAGCATTTTTGATACACTCTTTTTGTACTATCTGCAAGTGGATATTTGGATAGCTGTGAAGATTTCGTTGGAAACGGGAATATCTTCCTATAAAGTCTGGACAGAAGCATTCTCAGAAACTGCTCTGTGATGTCTGCATTCAAGTCACAGAGTTGAACATTGCCTTTCATAGAGCAGGTTTGAAATGCTCTTTTTGTAGTATATGGAAGTGGACTTTTCGGACGGTTTGAGGCCCATGGTGATAAAGGGAATATCTTCCCCTACAAGCTAGAAAGAAGCATTCTGTGAAACTTGTTTGTGATGTGTGTACTCAACTAACAGAGTTGAACCTTTCTTTTTACAGAGCAGTTTTGAAACACTCTTTTTGTAGAATCTGCGAGGGGATATTTGGATAGATTTCAGGATTTCGTTGGAAAGGGGAATATCTTCATATAAAATCGCGACAGAAGCATTCTCAGAAACTTCCTTGTGATATGTGCATTCAAGTCACAGAGTTGAATATTCCCTTTCACAGAGTAGGTTTGAAACACTCTTTTTGTAGTATCTGGAAGTGGACATTTGGAGCGCCTTGACGCCTACGGTGAAAAGGGAAATATCTTCCCATCAAAACTAGACAGAAGAAATCTCAGAATCATCTTTGGGATATATGCACGCAGCTAACAGAGTTGAACCTTTCTATTGACAGAGCAGATTTGAAACAGTCTTTCTGTGGAATCTGCAAGTGGATATTTGGATAGCTTGGAGGATTTCGTTGGAAACGGGATTACGTATAAAAAGTAGACAGCAGCATCCTCAGAAACTTCTTTGTGATGTGTGCATTCAAGTCAAAGAGTTGAACATTCCCTTTCGTACAGCAGTTTTGAAACACTCTTTCTGTAGTATCTGGAAGTGAACATTAGGACAGCTTTCAGGTCTATGGTGAGAAAGGAAATATCTTCAAATAAAAACTAGACAGAAGCATTCTCATAAACTTGTTTGTGTTGTGTGAACTCAGCTAACAGAGGTGGATCTTTCTTTTGATAGAGCAGTTCTGAAAAACACTTTTTGTTGAATCTGCAAGTGGACATTTGGATAGATTTGAAGATTTCGTTGGAAACGGGAATATCTTCATATCAAATCTAGACAGAAGCATTCTCAGAAACGTCTTTGTGATGTTTGCATTCAACTCATAGAGTTGAACATTCCCTTTCAGAGAGGCAGCTTTGAAGCACTCTTTTTGTAGCATGTGCAAGTGGACATTTGGAGCGCCCTGAGGCCTACGGGGAAAAAGCAAATATCTTCCCATAACCACTAGACAGAAACATTCTCAGAAACTCCTTTATGACGTTTGTACTCAACTAACAGAGAAGAACCTTCCTTTTGACAGAGCAGTTTTGATACACTCTTTTTGTAGAATCTGCAAGTGGATATTTGGATAGCTGTGAAGATTTCGTTGGAATCGGGAATATCTTCCTATAAAATCTAGACAGAAGCATTCTCAGAAACTGCTCTGTGATGTCTGCATTCAAGTCACAGAGTTGAACATTGCCTTTCATAGAGCAGGTTTGAAACGCTTTTTTGTAGTATATGGAAGTGGATGTTTCGGACGGTTGGAGGCCCATGGTGATAAAGGGAATATCTTCCCCTACAAGCTAGAAAGAAGCATTCTGTGAAACTTGTTTGTGATGTGTGTACTCAACTAACAGAGTTGAACCTTTCTTTTTACAGAGCAGTTTTGAAACACTCTTTTTGTAGAATCTGCGAGGGGATATTTGGATAGATTTCAGGATTTTGTTGGAAACCGGAATATCTTCATATAAAATCTCGACAGAAGCATTCTCAGAAGCTTCTTTGTGATATGTGCATTCAAGTCACAGAGTTGAATATTCCCTTTCACAGAGTAGGTTTGAAACACTCTTTTTCTAGTATCTGGAAGTGGACATTTAGAGCGCCTTGACGCCTACGGTGAAAAGGGAAATATCTTCTCATAAAAAGTAGACAGAAGCAATCTCAGAATCTTCTTTGGGATATATGTACGCAGCTAACAGAGTTGAACCTTTCTATTGACAGAGCAGTTTTGAAACAGTCTTTCTGTGGAATCTGCAAGTGGATATTTGGATAGCTTGGAGGATTTCGTTGGAAACGGGATTACGTATAAAAAGTAGACAGCAGCATTCTCAGAAACTGCTCTGTGATGTCTGCATTCAAGTCACAGAGTTGAACATTCCCTTTCATACAGCAGTTTTGAAACACTCTTTCTGTAGTATCTGGAAGTGAACATTAGGACAGCTTTCAGGTCTATGGTGAGAAAGGAAATATCTTCAAATAAAAACTAGACAGAAGCATTCTCTTAAACTTGTTTGTGATGTGTGAACTCAGCTAACAGATGTGGATCTTTCTTTTGATATAACAGTTTTGAAAAACTCTTTTTGTTGAATCTGCAAATGGACATTTGGATAGATTTGAAGATTTCGTTGGAAACGGGAATATCTTCATATCAAATCTAGACAGAAAGCATTGTCAGAAACGTCTTTGTGATGTTTGCATTCAACTCACAGAGTTGAACATTCCCTTTCAGAGAGCAGCTTTGAAGCACTCTTTTTGTAGTATGTGCAAGTGGATATTTGGAGCTCTCTGAGGCCTAAGGTGAAAAAGCAAATATCTTCCCATAACCACTAGACAGAAACATTCTCAGAAACTCCTTTATGACGTATGCACTCACCTAACAGAGAAGAACCTTCCTTTTCACAGAGCAGTTTTGATACACTCTTTTTGTAGAATCTGCAAGTGGATATTTGGATAGCTGTGAAGATTTCGTTGGAAACGAGGAATATCTTCCTATAAAATCTAGACAGAAGCATTCTCAGAAACTGCTCTGTGATGTCTGCATTCAAGTCACAGAGTTGAACATTGCCTTTCCTAGAGCAGGTTTGAAATGCTGTTTTTGTAGTATATGGAAGTGGACGTTTCGGACGGTTTGAGGCCCTTGGTGATAAAGGGAATATCTTCCCCTACAAGCTAGAAAGAAGCATTCTGTGAAACTTGTTTGTGATGTGTGTACTCAACTAACAGAGTTGAACCTTTCTTTTTACAGAGCAGTTTTGAAACACTCTTTTTGTACAATCTGCGAGGGGATATTTGGATAGATTTCAGGATTTCGTTGGAAACGGGAATATCTTCATATAAAATCTCGACAGAAGCATTCTCAGAAACTTCTTTGTGATATGTGCATTCAAGTCACAGAGTTGAATATTCCCTTTTACAGAGTAGGTTTGAAACACTCTTTTTGTAGTATCTGGAAGTGAACATTTGGAGCGCCTTGACGCCTACGGTGAACAGGGAAATATCTTCTCATAAAAAGTAGACAGAAGCAATCTCAGAATCTTCTTTGGGATATATGTACGCAGCTAACAGAGTTGAACCTTTCTATTGACAGACCCGTTTTGAAACAGTCTTTCTGTGGAATCTGCAAGTGGATATTTGGATAGCTTGGAGGATTTCTTTGGAAACGGGATTACGTATAAAAAGTAGACAGCAGCATCCTCAGCAAACTTCTTTGTGATGTGTGCATTCAAGTCACAGAGTTGAACATTCCCTTTCGTACAGCAGTTTTGAAATACTCTTTCTGTAGTAACTGGAAGTGAACATTAGGACAGCTTTCAGGTCTATGGTGAGAAAGGAAATATCTTCAAATAAAAACTAGACAGAAGCATTCTCATAAACTTGTTTGTGATGTGTGAACTCAGCTAACACACGTGGATTTTTCTTTTGATAGAGCAGTTCTGAAAAACAATTTTTGTAGAATCTGCAAGTGGACATTTGGATAGATTTGAAGATTTCCTTGGAAACGGGAATATCTTCATATCAAATCTAGACAGAAGCATTCTCAGAAACGTCTTTGTCATGTTTGCATTCAACTCATAGAGTTGAACATTCCGTTTCAGAGAGCAGCTTTGAAGCACTCTTTTTGTAGTATGTGCAAGCGGATATTTGGAGCGCTCTGAGGCCTACGGTGAAAAAGCAAATATCTTCCCATAACCACTAGACAGAAACATTCTCAGAAACTCCTTTATGACGTATGCACTCACCTAACAGAGAAGAACCTTCCTTTTGACAGAGCAGTTTTGATACACTCTTTTTGTAGAATCTGCAAGTGGATATTTTGATACCTGTGAAGATTTCGTTGGAAACGGGAATATCTTCCTATAAAATCTAGACAGAAGCATTCTCAGAAACTGCTCTGCGATGTCTGCATTCAAGTCACAGAGTTGAACATTGCCTTTCCTAGAGCAGGTTTGAAATGCTCTTTTTGTAGTATATGGAAGTGGACGTTTCGGACGGTTTGAGGCCCATGGTGATAAAGGGAATATCTTCCCCTACAAGCTAGAAAGAAGCATTCTGTGAAACTTGTTTGTGAGGTGTGTACTCAACTAACAGAGTTGAACCTTTCTTTTTACAGAGCAGTTTTGAAACACTCTTTTTGTAGAATCTGCGAGGGGATATTTGGATAGATTACAGGATTTCGTTGGAAACGGGAATATCTTCATATAAAATCTCGACAGAAGCATTCTCAGAAACTTCTTTGTGATATCTGCCTTCAAGTCACAGGGTTGAATATTCCCTTTCACAGAGTAGGTTTGAAACACTCTTTTTGTAGTATCTGGAAGTGGACATTTGGAGCGCCTTGACGCCTACGGTGAAAAGGGAAATATCTTCCCATAAAAACTAGACAGAAGCAATCTCAGAATCTTCTTTGGGATATATGCACGCAGCTAACAGAGTTGAACCTTTCTATTGACAGAGCAGTTTTGAAACAGTCTTTCTGTGGAATCTGCAAGTGGATATTTGGTAGCTTGGAGGATTTCGTTGGAAACGGGATTACGTATCAAAAGTAGACAGCAGCATCCTCAGAAACTTCTTTGTGATGTGTGCATTCAAGTCACAGAGTTGAACATTCCCTTTCGTACAGCAGTTTTGAAACACTCTTTCTGTAGTATCTGGAAGTGAACATTAGGACAGCTTCAGGTCTATGGTGAGAAAGGAAATATCTTCAAATAAAAACTAGACAGAAAGCATTCTCATTAACTTGTTTGTGATGTGTGAACTCAGCTAACAGAGGTGGATCTTTCTTTTGATAGAGCAGTTCTGAAAAACATTTTTTGTTGAATCTGCAAGTGGACATTTGGATAGATTTGAAGATTTCGTTGGAAACGGGAATATCTTCATATCAAATCTAGACAGAAGCATTCTCAGAAACGTCTTTGTCATGTTTGCATTCAACTCATAGAGTTGAACATTCCCTTTCAGAGAGCAGGTTTGAAGCACTCTTTTTGTAGTATGTGCAAGTGGATATTTGGAGCGCTCTGAGGCCTACGGTGAAAAAGCAAATATCTTCCCATAACCACTAGACAGAAACATTCTCAGAAACTCCTTTATGACGTATGCACTCACCTAACAGAGAAGAACCTTCCTTTTGACAGAGCAGTTTTGATACACTCTTTTTGTAGAATCTGCAAGTGGATATTTGGATAGCTGTGAAGATTTCGTTGGAAACGGGAATATCCTCCTATAATACCTAGACAGAAGCATTCTCAGAAACTGCTCTGTGATGTCTGCATTCAAGTCACAGAGTTGAACATTGCCTTTCATAGAGCAGGTTTGAAATGCTCTTTTTGTAGTATATGGAAGTGGACGTTTCAGACTGTTTGAGGCCCATGGTGATAAAGGGAATATCTTCCCCTACAAGCTAGAAAGATAGCATTCTGTGAAACTTGTTTGTGATGTGTGTACTCAACTAACAGAGTTGAACCTTTCTTTTTACAGAGCAGTTTTGAAACACTCTTTTTGTAGAATCTGCGAGGGGATATTTGGATAGATTTCAGGATTTCATTGGAAACGGGAATATCTTCATATAAAATCTCGACAGAAGCATTCTCAGAAGCTTCTTTTTGATATGTGCATTCAAGTCACAGAGTTCAATATTCCCTTTCACAGAGTAGGTTTGAAACACTCTTTTTGTAGTATCTGGAAGTGGACATTTGGAGCGCCTTGACGCCTACGGTGAAAAGGGAAATATCTTCTCATAAAAACGTAGACAGAAGTAATCTCAGAATCTTCTTTGGGATATATGCACCCAGCTAACAGAGTTGAACCTTTCTATTGACAGAGCAGTTTTGAAACAGTCTTTCTGTGGAATCTGCAAGTGGATATTTGGATAGCTTGGAGGATTTCGTTGGAAACGGGATTACGTATAAAAAGTAGACAGCAGCATCCTCAGAAGCTTCTTTGTGATGTGTGCATTCAAGTCACAGAGTTGAACATTCCCTTTCGTACAGCAGTTTTGAAACACTCTTTCTGTAGTAACTGGAAGTGAACATTAGGACAGCTTTCAGGTCTATGGTGAGAAAGGAAATATCTTCAAATAAAAACTAGACAGAAGCATTCTCATAAACTTGTTTGTGATGTGTGAACTCAGCTAACAGAGGTGGATCTTTCTTTTGATAGAGCAGTTCTGAAAAACACTTTTGTTGAATCTGCAAGTGGACATTTGGATAGATTTGAAGATTTCGTTGGAAACGGGAATATCTTCATATCAAATCTAGACAGAAGCATTCCCAGAAACGTCTTTGTGATGTTTGCATTCAACTCATAGAGTTGAACATTCCGTTTCAGAGAGCAGCTTTGAAGCACTCTTTTTGTAGTATGTGCAAGGGGATATTTGGAGCGCTCTGAGGCCTACGGTGAAAAAGCAAGTATCTTCCCATAACCACTAGACAGAAACATTCTCAGAAACTCCTTTATGACGTATGCACTCACCTAACAGAGAAGAACCTTCCTTTTGACAGAGCACTTTTGATACACTCTTTTTGTAGAATCTGCAAGTGGATATTTGGATAGCTGTGAAGATTTCGTTGGAAACGGGAATATCTTCCTATAAAATCTAGACAGAAAGCATTCTCAGAAACTGCTCTGTGATGTCTGCATTCAAGTCACAGAGTTGAACATTGCCTTTCATAGAGCAGGTTTGAAACGCTCTTTTTGTAGTATATGTAAGTGGATGTTTCGGACGGTTGGAGGCCCATGGTGATAAAGGGAATATCTTCCCCTACAAGCTAGAAAGAGCATTCTGTGAAACTTGTTTGTGATGTGTGTACTCAACTAACAGAGTTGAACCTTTCTTTTTACAGAGCAGTTTTGAAACACTCTTTTTGTAGAATCTGCGAGCGGATATTTGGATAGATTTCAGCATTTCGTTGGAAACGGGAATATCTTCATATAAAATCTCGACAGATGCATTCTCAGAAACTTCTTTGTGATATGTGCATTCTAGTCACAGAGTTGAATATTCCCTTTCACAGAGTAGGTTTGAAACACTCTTTTTGTAGTATCTGGAAGTGGACATTTGGAGCGCCTTGACGCCTACGGTGAAAAGGGAAATATCTTCCCATAAAAACTAGACAGAAGCAATCTCAGAATCTTCTTTGGGATATATGCACGCAGCTAACAGAGTTGAACCTTTCTATTGACAGAACAGTTTTGAAAGAGTCTTTCTGTGGAATCTGCAAGTGGATATTTGGATAGCTTGGAGGATTTCGTTGGAAACGGGATTACGTATAATAAGTAGACAGCAGCATCCTCAGAAACTACTTTGTGATGTGTGCATTCAAGTCACAGAGTTGAACATTCCCTTTCGTACATCAGTTTTGAAACACTCTTTCTGTAGTATCTGGAAGTGAACACTAGGACAGCTTTCAGGTCTATGGTGAGAAAGGAAATATCTTCAAATAAAAACTAGACAGAAGCATTCTCATAAACTTGTTTGTGATGTGTGAACTCAGCTAACAGAAGTGGATCTTTCTTTTGATAGAGCAGTTCTGAAAAACACTTTTTGTTGAATCTGCAAGTGGACATTTGGATAGATTTGAAGATTTCCCTTGGAAACGGGAATATCTTCATATCAAATCTAGACAGAAGCATTCTCAGAAAACGTCTTTGTGATGTTTGCATTCAACTCATAGAGTTGAACATTCCGTTTCAGAGACCAGCTTTGAAGCACTCTTTTTGTAGTATGTGCAAGTGGATATTTGGAGCGCTCTGAGGCCTACGGTGAAAAAGCAAATATCTTCCCATAACCACTAGACAGAAACATTCTCAGAAACACCTTTAAACGTATGCACTCACCTAACAGAGAAGAACCTTCCTTTTGACAGAGCAGTTTTGATACACTCTTTTTGTAGAATCTGCAAGTGGATATTTGGATAGCTGTGAAGATTTCGTTGGAAACGGGAATATCTTCCTATAAAATCTAGACAGAAGCATTCTCAGAAACTGCTGTGTGATGTCTGCATTCAAGTCACAGAGTTGAACATTGCCTTTCATAGAGCAGGTTTGAAACGCTCTTTTTGTAGTATATGGAAGTGGACGTTTCGGACGGTTTGAGGCCCATGGTGATAAAGGGAATATCTTCCCCTACAAGCTAGAAAGAAGCATTGTGTGAAACTTGTTTGTGATGTGTGTACTCAATAACAGAGTTGAACCTTTCTTTTTACAGAGCAGTTTTGAAACACTCTTTTTGTAGAATCTGCGAGGGGATATTTGGATAGATTTCAGGATTTCGTTGGAAACGGGAATATCTTCATATAAAATCTCGACAGAAGCATTCTCAGAAACTTCTTTGTGATACGTGCATTCTAGTCACACGAGTTGAATATTCCCTTTCACAGAGTAGGTTTGAAACACTCTTTTTGTAGTATCTGGAAGTGGACATTTGGAGCGCCTTGACGCCTACGGTGAAAAGGGAAATATCTTCCCATAAAAACTAGACAGAAGCAATCTCAGAATTTTCTTTGGGATATATGCACACAGCCAACAGAGTTGAACTTTTCTATTGACATAGCAGTTTTGAAACAGTCTTTCTGTGGAATCTGCAAGTGGATATTTGGATAGCTTGGAGGATTTCGTTGGAAACGGGATTACGTATAAAAAGTAGACAGCAGCATCCTGAGAAACTTCCTTGTGATGTGTGCATTCAAGTCACAGAGTTGAACATTCCCTTTCGTACAGCAGTTTTGAAACACTCTTTCTGTAGTATCTGGAAGTGAACATTAGGACAGCTTTCAGGTCTATGGTGAGAAAGGAAATATCTTCAAATAAAAAGTAGACAGAAGCATTCTCATAAACTTGTTTGTGATGTGTGAACTCAGCTAACAGAGGTGGATCTTTCTTTTGATAGAGCAGTTCTGAAAAACACGTTTTGTTAAATCTGCAAGTGGACATTTGGATAGATTTGAAGATTTCGTTGGAAACGGGAATATCGTCATATCAAATCTAGACAGAAGCATTCTCAGAAACGTCTTTGCGATGTTTGCATTCAACTCATAGAGTTGAACATTCCGTTTCAGAGAGCAGCTTTGAGGCACTCTTTTTGTAGTATGTGCAAGTGGATATTTGGAGCGCTCTGAGGCCTACAGTGAAAAAGCAAATATCTTCCCATAACCACTAACAGAAACATTCTCAGAAACTCCTTTATGACGTATGCACTCACCTAACAGAGAAGAACCTTCCTTTTGACAGAGCAGTTTTGGTACACTCTTTTTGTAGAATCTGCAAGTGGATATTTGGATAGCTGTGAAGATTTCGTTGGAAACGGGAATATCTTCCTATAAAATCTAGACAGAAGCATTCTCAGAAAACTGCTCTGTGATGTCTGCATTCAAGTCACAGAGTTGAACATTGCCTTTCCTAGAGCAGGTTTGAAACGCTCTTTTTGTAGTATATGGAAGTGGACGTTTCGGACGGTTTGAGGCCCATGGTGATAAAGGGAATATCTTCCCCTACAAGCTAGAAAGAAGCATTCTGTGAAACTTGTTTGTGAGGTGTGTACTCAACTAACAGAGTTGAACCTTTCTTTTTACAGAGCAGTTTTGAAACACTCTTTTTGTAGAATCTGCGAGGGGATATTTGGATAGATTACAGGATTTCGTTGGAAACGGGAATATCTTCATATAAAATACTCGACAGAAGCATTCTCAGAAACTTCTTTGTGATATCTGCATTCAAGTCACAGAGTTGAATATTGCCTTTCACAGAGTAGGTTTGAAACACTCTTCTTGTAGTATCTGGAAGTGGACATTTTGAGCACCTTGACACCTACGGTGAAAAGGGAAATATCTTCCCATAAAAACTAGACAGAAGCAATCTCAGAATCTTCTTTGGGATATATGCACGCAGCTAACAGAGTTGAACCTTTCTATTGACAGAGCAGTTTTGAAACAGCCTTTCTGTGGAATCTGCAAGTGGATATTTGGATAGCTTGGAGGATTTCGTTGGAAACGGGATTACGTATAATAAGTAGACAGCAGCATCCTCAGTAAACTTCTTTGTGATGTGTGCATTCAAGTCACAGTGTTGAACATTCCCTTTCGTACAGCAGTTTTGAAACACTCTTTCTGTAGTATCTGGAAGTGAACATTAGGACAGCTTTCAGGTCTATGGTGAGAAAGGAAATATCTTCAAATAAAAACTAGACAGAAGCATTCTCATAAACTTGTTTGTGATGTGTGAACTCAGCTAACAGAGGTGGATCTTTCTTTTGATAGAGAAGTTCTGAAAAACACTTTTTGTTGAATCTGCAAGTGGACATTTGGATAGATTTGAAGATTTCGTAGGAAACGGGAATATCTTCATATCAAGTCTAGACAGAAGCATTCTCAGAAACGTCTTTGTGATGTTTGCATTCAACTCATAGAGTTGAACATTCCGTTACAGAGAACAGCTTTGAAGCACTCTTTTTGTAGTATGTGCAAGTGGATATTTGGAGCGCTCTGAGGCCTACGGTGAAAAAGCAAATATCTTCCCATAACCACTAGACAGAAACATTCTCAGAAACTCCTTTATGACGTATGCACTCACGTAACACAGAAGAACCTTCCTTTTGACAGAGCAGTTTTGATACACTCTTTTTGTAGAATCTGCAAGTGGATATTTGGATACCTGTGAAGATTTCGTTGGAAACGGGAATATCTTCCTATAAAATCTAGACAGAAGCATTCTCAGGAACTGCTCTGCGACGTCTGTATTCAAGTCACAGAGTTGAACATTGCCTTTCATAGAGCAGGTTTGAAACGCTCTTTTTGTAGTATATGGAAGTGGACGTTTCGGACGGTTTGAGGCCCATGGTGATAAAGGGAATATCTTCCCCTACAAGCTAGAAAGAAGCATTCTGTGAAACTTGTTTGTGATGTGTGCACTCAACTAACAGAGTTGAACCTTTCTTTTTACAGAGCAGTTTTGAAACACTCTTTTTGTAGAATCTGCGAGGGGATATTTGGATACATTCCTGGATTTCGTTGGAAACGGGAATATCTTCATATAAAATCTCGACAGAAGCATTCTCAGAAACTTCTTTGTGATATGTGCATTCAAGTCACAGAGTTGAATATTCCCTTTCACAGAGTAGGTTTGAAACACTCTTTTTGTAGTATCTGGAAGTGGACATTTGGAGGGCCTTGACACCTACGGTGAAAAGGGAAATATCTTCCCATAAAAACTAGACAGAAGCAATCTCAGAATCTACTTTGGGATATATGCACGCAGCTAACAGAGTTGAACCTTTCTATTGACAGAGCAGTTTTGAAACAGTCTTTCTGTGGAATCTGCAAGTGGATATTTGGATAGCTTGGAGGATTTCGTTGGAAACGGGATTACGTATAAAAAGTAGACAGCAGCATCCTCAGAAACTTCTTTGTGATGTGTGCATTCAAGTCACAGAGTTGAACATTCCCTTTCGTACAGTAGTTTTGAAACACTCTTTCTGTAGTATCTGGAAGTGAACATTAGGACAGCTTTCAGGTCTATGGTGAGAAAGGAAATATCTTCAAATAAAAACTAGACAGAAGCATTCTCATAAACTTGTTTGTGATGTGTGAACTCAGCTAACAGAGGTGGATCTTTCTTTTGATAGAGCAGTTCTGAAAAACACTTTTTGTTGAATCTGCAAGTGGACATTTGGATAGATTTGAAGATTTCGTTGGAAACGGGAATATCTTCATATTAAATCTAGACAGAAGCATTCTCAGAAACGTCTTTGTGATGTTAGCATTCAACTCATAGAGTTGAACATTCCCTTTCAGAGAGCAGCTTTGAAGCACTCTTTTTGTAGTATGTGCAAGTGGACATTTGGAGCGCTTTGAGGCCTACAGGGAAAAAGCAAATATCTTCCCATAACCACTAGACAGGAACATTCTCAGAAACTCCTTTATGACGTATGCACTCACCTAACAGAGAAGAACCTTCCTTTTGACTGAGCAGTTTTGATACACTCTTTTTGCAGAATCTGCAAGTGGATATTTGGATAGCTGTGAAGATTTCGTTGGAAACGGGAATATCTTCCTATAAAATCTAGACAGAAGCATTCTCAGAAACTGCTCTGTGATGTCTGCATTCAAGTCACAGAGTTGAACACTGCCTTTCCTAGAGCAGGTTTGAAACGCTCTTTTTGTAGTATATGGAAGTGGACGTTTCGGATGGTTTGAGGCCCATAGTGATAAAGGGAATATCTTCCCCTACAAGCTAGAAAGAAGCATTCTCTGAAACTTGTTTGTGATGTGTGTACTCAACTAACAGAGTTGAACCTTTCTTTTTACAGAGCAGTTTTGAAACACTCTTTTTGTAGAATCTGCGAGGGGATATTTGGATAGATTTCAGGATTTCGTTGGAAAGGGGAATATCTTCATATAAAATCTCGACAGAAGCATTCTCAGAAACTTCTTTGTGATATCTGCCTTCAAGTCACAGAGTTGAATATTCCCTTTCACAGAGTAGGTTTGAAACACTCTTTCTGTAGTATCTGGAAGTGGACATTTGGAGCGCCTTGACACCTACGGTGAAAAGGGAAATATCTTCCCATAAAAACAAGACAGAAGCAATCTCAGAATCTTACCTTGGGATATATGCACGCAACTAACAGAGTTGAACCTTTCTATTGACAGAGCAGTTTTGAAACAGTCTTTCTGTGGAATCTGCAAGTGGATATTTGGATAGCTTGGAGGATTTCCTTGGAAACGGGATTACGTATAAAAAGTAGACAGCAGCATCCTCAGAAACTTCTTTGTGATGTGTGCATTCAAGTCACAGAGTTGAACATTTCCCTTTCGTACAGCAGTTTTGAAACACTCTTTCTGTAGTATCTGGAAGTGAACATTAGGACAGCTTTCAGCTCTATGGTGAGAAAGGAAATATCTTCAAATAAAAACTAGACAGAAGCATTCTCATAAACTTGTTTGGATGTGTGAACTCAGCTAACAGAGGTGGATCTTTCTTTTGATAGAGCAGTTCTGAAAAACACTTTTTGTTGAATCTGCAAGTGGACATTTGGATAGATTTGAAGATTTCGTTGGAAACGGGAATATCTTCATATCAAATCTAGACAGAAGCATTCTCAGAAACGTCTTTGCGATGTTTGCATTCAACTCATAGAGTTGAACATTCCGTTTCAGAGAGCAGCTTTGAAGCACTCTTTTTGTAGTATGTGCAAGTGGATATTTGGAGCGCTCTGAGGCCTACGGTGAAAAAGCAAATATCTTCCCATAACCACTAACAGAAACATTCTCAGAAACTCCTTTATGACGTATGCACTCACCTAACAGAAAAGAACCTTCCTTTTGACAGAGCAGTTTTGATACACTCTTTTTGTAGAATCTACAAGTGGATATTTGGATAGCTGTGAAGATTTCGTTGGAAACGGGAATATCTTCCTATAAAATCTAGACAGAAGCATTCTCAGAAACTGCTCTGTGATGTCTGCATTCAAGTCACAGAGTTGAACATTGCCTTTCATAGAGCAGGTTTGAAACGCTCTTTTTGTAGTATATGGAAGTGGACTTTTCGGACGGTTGGAGGCCCATGGTGATAAAGGGAATATCTTCCCCTACAAGCTAGAAAGAAGCATTGTGTGAAACTTGTTTGTGATGTGTGTACTCAACTAACAGAGTTGAACCTTTCTTTTTACAGAGCAGTTTTGAAACACTCTTTTTGTAGAATCTGCGAGGGGATATTTGGATACATTTCAGGATTTCGTTGGAAACCGGGAATATCTTCATATAAAATCTCGACAGAAGCATTCTCAGAAACTTCTTTGTGATATCTGCATTCAAGTCACAGAGTTGAATATTCCCTTCCACAGAGTAGGTTTGAAACACTCTTTTTGTGGTATCTGGAAGTGGACATTTGGAGCGCCTTGACGCCTACGGTGAAAAGGGAAATATCTTCCCATAAAAACTAGACAGAAGCAATCTCAGAATCTTCTTTGAGATATATGCACGCAGCTAACAGAGTTGAACCTTTCTATTGACAGAGCAGTTTTGAAACAGTCTTTCTGTGGAATCTGCAAGTGGATATTTGGATAGCTTGGAGGATTTCGTTGGAAACGGGATTACGTATAAAAAGTAGACAGCAGCATCCTCAGAAACTTCTTTGTGATGTGTGCATTCAAGTCACAGAGTTGAACATTCCCTTTCGTACAGCAGTTTTGAAACGCTCTTTCTGTAGTATCTGGAAGTGAACATTAGGACAGCTTTCAGGTCTATGTTGAGAAAGGAAATATCTTCAAATAAAAACTAGACAGAAGCATTCTCATAAACTTGTTTGTGATGTCTGAACTCAGCTAACAGAGGTGGATCTTTCTTTTGATAGAGCAGTTCTGAAAAACACTTTTTGTTGAATCTGCAAGTGGACATTTGGATAGATTTGAAGATTTCGTTGGAAACGGGAATATCTTCATAGCAAATCTAGACAGAAGCATTCTCAGGAAACGTCTTTGTGATGTTTGCATTCAACTCATAGAGTTGAACATTCCCTTTCAGAGAGCAGCTTTGAAGCACTCTTTTTGTAGTATGTGCAAGGGGATATTTGGAGCGCTCTGAGGCCTAAGGTGAAAAAGCAAATATCTTCCCATAACCACTAGACAGAAACATTCTCAGAAACTCCTTTATGACGTATGCACTCACCTAACAGAGAAGAACCTTCCTTTTGACAGAGCATTTTTGATACACTCTTTTTGTAGCATCTGCAAGTGGATATTTGGATATCTGTGAAGATTTCGTTGGAAACGGGAATATCTTCCTATAAAATCTAGACAGAAGCATTCTCAGAAACTGCTTTGTGATGTCTGCATTCAAGTCACAGAGTTGAACATTGCCTTTCATAGAGCAGGTTTGAAACGCTCTTTTTGTAGTATATGGAAGTGGATGTTTCGAACGGTTTGAGGCCCATGGTGATAAAGGAAATATCTTCCCCTAGAAGCGAGAAAGAAGCATTCTGTGAAACTTGTTTGTGATGTGTGTACTCAACTAACAGAGTTGAACCTTTCTTTTCACAGGGCAGTTTTGAAACACTCTTTTTGTAGAATCTGCGATGGGATATTTGGATAGATTTCAGGATTTCGTGGGAAACGGGAATATCTTCATATAAAATCTCGACAGAAGCATTCTCAGAAACTTCTTTGTGATATGTGCATTCAAGTCACAGAGTTCAATATTCCCTTTCACAGAGTAGGTTTGAAACACTCTTTTTGTAGTATCTGGAAGTGGACATTTGGAGCGCCTTGACGCCTACGGTGAAAAGGGAAATATCTTCTCATAAAAAGTAGACAGAAGCAATCTCAGAATCTTCTTTGGGATATATGCACGCAGCTAACAGAGTTGAACCTTTCTATGGACAGAGTAGTTTTGAAACAGTCTTTCTGTGGAATCTGCAAGTGGATATTTGGATAGCTTGGAGGATTTCGTTGGAAACGGGATTACGTATAAAAAGTAGACAGCAGCATCCTCAGAAACTTCTTTGTGATGTGTGCATTCAAGTCACAGAGTTGAACATTCCCTTTCGTACAGCAGTTTTGAAACACTCTTCCTGTAGTATCTGGAAGTGAACATTAGGACAGCTTTCAGGTCTATGGTGAGAAAGGAAATATCTTCAAATAAAAACTAGACAGAAGCATTCTCATAAACTTGTTTGTGATGTGTGAACTCAGCTAACAGAGGTGGATCTTTCTTTTGATAGAGCAGTTCTGAAAAACACTTTTTGTTGAATCTGCAAGTGGACATTTGGATAGATTTGAAGATTTCGTTGGAAACGGGAATATCTTCATATCAAATCTACACAGAAGCATTCTCAGAAACGTCTTTGTGATGTTTGCATTCAACTCATAGAGTTGAACATTCCCTTTCAGAGAGCAGCTTTGAAGCACTCTTTTTGTAGTATGTGCAAGTGGATATTTGGAGCGCTCTGAGGCCTACGGGGAAAAGCAAATATCTTCCCATAACCACTAGACAGAAACATTCTCAGAAACTTCTTTATGACGTATGTACTCAACTAGCAGAGAAGAACTTTCCTTTTGACAGAGCACTTTTGATACACTCTTTTTGTAGTATCTGCAAGTGGATATTTGGATAGCTGTGAAGATTTCGTTGGAATCGGGAATATCTTCCTATAAAGTCTGGACAGAAGCATTCTCAGAAACTGCTCTGTGATGTCTGCATTCAAGTCACAGAGTTGAACATTGCCTTTCATAGAGCAGGTTTGAAACTCTCTTTTTGTAGTATATGGAAGTGGACGTTTCGGACGGTTGGAGGCCCATGGTGATAAAGGGAATATCTTCCCCTACAAGCTAGAAAGAAGCATTCTGTGAAAGTTGTTTGTGATGTGTGTACTCAACTAACAGAGTTGAACCTTTCTTTTTACAGAGCAGTTTTGAAACACTCTTTTTGTAGAATCTGCGAGAGGATATTTGGATAGATTTCAGGATTTCGTTGGAAACGGGAATATCTTCATATAAAATCTCGACAGAAGCATTCTCAGAAACTTCTTTGTGATATGTGCATTCAAGTCACAGAGGTGAATATTCCCTTTCACAGAGTAGGTTTGAAACACTCTTTTTGTAGTATCTGGAAGTGGACATTTGGAGCGCCTTGACGCCTACGGTGAAAAGGGAAATATCTTCCCATAAAAACTAGACAGAAGCAATCTCAGAATCCTCTTTGGGATATATGCACGCAGCTAACAGAGTTGAACCTTTCTATTGACAGAGCAGTTTTGAAACAGTCTTTCTGTGGAATCTGCAAGTGGATATTTGGATAGCTTGGAGGATTTCGTTGGAAACGGGATTACGTATAAAAAGTAGACAGCAGAATTCTCAGAAAGATTTTGTGATATCTGCATTGAAGTCACAGAGTTCAATATTCCCTTTCACATAGAAAGTTTGAAACACTCTTTTTGTAGTACCTGGAAGTGAACATTTCGAGAGCTTTCAGGACTATGGTGAGAAAGGAAATATCTTCAAATAAAAACAAGACAGAAGCATTCTCACAAACTTGTTTGTGTTGTGTGAACTCAACAAACAAAGGTGGATCTTTCTTTTGATACAGCAATTTTGAAAAACACTTTTTGTAGAATCTCCAAGTGGATATTTGGATAGATTTGAAGATTTCTTTGGAAACGGGAATATCTTCATATAAAATCTAGACAGAAGCATTCTCAGAAACGTCTTTGTGATGTTTGCATTCAACTCATAGAGTTGAACATTCCCTTTCAGAGAGCAGCTGTGAAGCACTCTTTTTGTAGTATGTGCAAGTGGATATTTGGAGCGCTCTGAGGCCTACGGTGAAAAAGCAAATATCTTCCCATAACCACTAGACAGAACCATTCTCAGAAACTCCTTTATGACGTATGCACTCACCTAACAGAGAAGAACCTTCCTTTTGACAGAGCAGTTTTGATACACTCTTTTTGTAGAATCTGCAAGTGGATATTTGGATAGCTGTGAAGATTTCGTTGGAAACGGGAATATCTTCCTATAAAATCTAGACAGAAGCATTCTCAGAAACTGCTCTCTGATGTCCGCATTCAAGTCACAGAGTTGAACATTGCCTTTCCTAGAGCAGGTTTGAAACGCTCTTTTGGTAGTATATGGAAGTGGACGTTTCGGACGGTTTGAGGCCCATGGTGATAAAGGGAATATCTTCCCCTACAAGCTAGAAAGAAGCATTGTGTGAAACTTGTTTGTGATGTGTGTACTCAACTAACAGAGTTGAACCTTTCTTTTTACAGAGCAGTTTTGAAACACTCTTTTTGTAGAATCTGCAAGGGGATATTTGGATACATTTCAGGATTTCGTTGGAAACGGGAATATCTTCATATAAAATACTCGACAGAAGCATTCTCAGAAACTTCTTTGTGATATGTGCATTCAAGTCACAGAGTTGAATATTCCCTTTCATAGAGTAGGTTTGAAACACTCTTTTTGTAGTATCTGGAAGTGGACATTTGGAGCGCCTTGACGCCTACGGTGAAAAGGGAAATATCTTCCCATAAAAACTAGACAGAAGCAATCTCAGCATCTTCTTTGGGATATATGCATGCAGCTAACAGAGTTGAACCTTTCTATTGACAGAGCAGTTTTGAAACAGTCTTTCTGTGGAATCTGCAAGTGGATATTTGGATAGCTTGGAGGATTTCGTTGGAAACGGGATTACGTATAAAAAGTAGACAGCAGCATCCTCAGAAACTTCTTTGTGATGTGTGCATTCAAGTCACAGAGTTGAATATTCCCTTTCACAGAGTTGGTTTGAAACACTCTTTTTGTACTATCTGGAAGTGGACATTTGGAGCGCCTTGACACCTACGGTGAAAAGGGAAATATCTTCCCATAAAAACTAGACAGAAGCATTCTCATAAACTTGTTTGTGATGTGTGAACTCAGCTAACACAGGTGGATCTTTCTTTTGATTGAGCAGTTCTGAAAAACACGTTTTGTTGAATCTGCAAGTGGACATTTGGATAGATTTGAAGATTTCGTTGGAAACGGGAATATCTTCATATCAAATCTAGACAGAAGCATTCTCAGGAAACGTCTTTGTGATGTTTGCATTCAACTCATAGAGTTGAACATTCACTTTCAGAGAGCAGCTTTGAAGCACTCTTTTTGTAGTATGTGCAAGTGGATATTTTGATCGCTCTGTGGCCTACGGTGAAAAAGCAAATATCTTCCCATAACCACTAGACAGAAACATTCTCAGAAACTCCCTTATGACGTATGCACTCACCTAACAGAGAAGAACCTTCCTTTTGACAGAGCAGTTTTGATACACTCTTTTTGTAGAATCTGCAAGTGGATATTTGGATAGCTGTGAAGATTTCGTTGGAAACGGGAATATCTTCCTATAAAATCTATACAGAAGCATTCTCAGAAACTGCTCTGTGATGTCTGCATTCAAGTCACAGAGTTGAACATTGCCTTTCCTAGAGCAGGTTTGAAACGCTCTTTTTGTAGTATATGGAAGTGGACGTTTCGGACGGTTTGAGGCCCTTGGTGATAAAGGGAATATCTTCCCCTACAAGCTAGAAAGAAGCATTCTGTGAAACTTGTTTGTGATGTGTGTACTCAACTAACAGAGTTGAACCTTTGTTTTTACAGAGCAGTTTTGAAACACTCTTTTTGTAGAATCTGCGAGGGGATATTTGGATACATTTCAGCATTTCGTTGGAAACGGGAATATCTTCATATAAAATCTCGACAGAAGCATTCTCAGAAACTTCTTTGTGATATGTGCATTCAAGTCACAGAGTTGAATATTCCCTTTCACAGAGTAGGTTTGAAACACTCTTTTTCTAGTATCTGGAAGTGGACATTTGGAGCACCTTGACACCTACGGTGAAAAGGGAAATATCTTCTCATAAAAAGTAGACAGAAGCAATCTCAGAATCTTCTTTGGGATATATGTACGCAGCTAACAGAGTTGAACCTTTCTATTGACAGAGCAGTTTTGAAACAGTCTTTCTGTGGAATCTGCAAGTGGATATTTGGATAGCTTGGAGGATTTCGTTGGAAACGGGATTACGTATAAAAAGTAGACAGCAGCATCCTCAGAAACTTCTTTGTGATGTGTGCATTCAAGTCACAGAGTTGAACATTCCCTTTCGTACAGCAGTTTTGAAACACTCTTTCTGTAGTATCTGGAAGTGAACATTAGGACAGCATTCAGGTCTATGGTGAGAAAGGAAATATCTTCAAATAAAAACTAGACAGAAGCATTCTCATAAACTTGTTTGTGATGTGTGAACTCAGCTAACAGAGGTGGATCTTTCTTTTGATAGAGCAGTTCTGAAAAACACTTTTTGTTGAATCTGCAAGTGGACATTTGGATAGATTTGAAGATTTCGTTGGAAACGGGAATATCTTCATATCAAATCTAGATAGAAGCATTCTCAGAAACGTCTTTGTGATGTTTGCATTCAACTCATAGAGTTGAAAATTCCCTTTCAGAGAGCAGCTTTGAAGCACTCTTTTTGTAGTATGTGCAAGGGGATATTTGGAGCGCTCTGAGGCCTAAGGTGAAAAAGCAAATATCTTCCCATAACCACTAGACAGAAACATTCTCAGAAACTCCTTTATGACGTATGTACTCAACTAACAGAGAAGAACCTTCCTTTTGATAGAGCAGTTTTGATACACTCTTTTTGTAGAATCTGCAAGTGGATATTTGGATAGCTGTGAAGATTTCGTTGGAAACTGGAATATCTTCCTATAAAATCTAGACAGAAGCATTCTCAGAAACTGCTCTGTGATGTCTGCATTCAAGTCACTAGAGTTGAACATTGCCTTTCATAGAGCAGGTTTGAAACGCTCTTTTTGTAGTATATGGAAGTGGACGTTTCGGACGGTTTGAGGCCCATGGTGATAAAGGGAATATCTTCCCCTACAAGCTAGAAAGAAGCACTCTGTGAAACTTGTTTGTGATGTGTGTACTCAACTAACAGAGTTGAACCTTTCTTTTTACAGAGCAGTTTTGAAACACTCTTTTTGTAGAATCTGCGAGGGGATATTTGGATAGATTTCAGGATTTCGTTGGAAACGGGAATATCTTCATATAAAATCTCGACAGAAGCATTCTCAGAAACTTCTTTGTGATATGTGCATTCAAGTCACAGAGTTGAATATTCCCTTTCACAGAGTAGGTTTGAAACACTCTTTTTGTAGTATCTGGAAGTGGACATTTGGAGCGCCTTGACACCTACGGTGAAAAGGGAAATATCTTCCCATAAATACTAGACAGAAGCAATCTCAGAATCTCCTTTGGGATATATGCACGCAGCTAACAGAGTTGAACCTTTCTATTGACAGACCAGTTTTGAAACAGTCTTTCTGTGGAATCTGCAAGTGGATATTTGGATAGATTGGAGGATTTCGTTGGAAACGGGATTACGTATAAAAAGTAGACAGCAGCATCCTCAGAAACTTCTTTGTGATGTGTGCATTCAAGTCACAGAGTTGAACATTCTCTTTCGTACAGCAGTTTTGAAATGCTCTTTCTGTAGTATCTGGAAGTGAACATTAGGACAGCTTTCATGTCTATGGTGAGAAAGGAAATATCTTCAAATAAAAACTAGACAGAAGCATTCTCATAAGCTTGTTTGTGATGTGTGAACTCAGCTAACAGAGGTGGATCTTTCTTTTGATAGAGCAGTTCTGAAAAACACTTTTTGTTGAATCTGCAAGTGGACATTTGGATAGATTTGAAGATTTCTTTGGAAACGGGAATATCTTCATATCAAATCTAGACAGAAGCATTCTCAGAAACGTCTTTGCGATGTTTGCATTCAACTCATAGAGTTAAACATTCCGTTTCAGAGAGCAGCTTTGAGGCACTCTTTTTGTAGTATGTGCAAGTGGATATTTGGAGCGCTCTGAGGCCTACGGTGAAAAAGCAAATATCTTCCCATAACCACTAGACAGAAACATTCTCAGAAACTTCTTTATGACGTATGTACTCAACTAGCAGAGAAGAACTTTCCTTTTGACAGAGCATTTTTGATACACTCTTTTTGTACTATCTGCAAGTGGATATTTGGATAGCTGTGAAGATTTCGTTGGATACGGGAATATCTTCCTATAAAGTCTGGACAGAAGCATTCTCAGAAACTGCTCTGTGACGTCTGCATTCAAGTCACAGAGTTGAACATTGCCTTTCATAGAGCAGGTTTGAAACGCTCTTTTTGTAGTATATGGAAGTAGACGTTTCGGACGGTTTGAGGCCCATGGTGATAATGGGAATATCTTCCCCTACAAGCTAGAAAGAAGCATTCTGTGAAACTTGTTTGTGATGTGTGTACTCAACTAACAGAGTTGAACCTTTCTTTTTACAGAGCAGTTTTGAAACACTCTTTTTGTAGAATCTGCGAGGGGATATTTGGATAGATTTCAGGATTTCGTTGGAAACGGGAATATCTTCATATAAAATACTCGACAGAAGCATTCTCAGAAACTTCTTTGTGATATGTGCATTCAAGTCACAGAGTTGAATATTCCCTTTCACAGAGTAGGCTTGAAACACTCTTTTTGTAGTATCTGGAAGTGGACATTTGGAGCGCCTTGACACCTACGGTGAAAAGGGAAATATCTTCCCATAAAAACTAGACAGAAAGTAATCTCAGAAACTTCTTTGGGATATATGCACGCAGCTAACAGAGTTGAACCTTTCTATTGACAGAGCAGTTTTGAAACAGTCTTTCTGTGGAATCTGCAAGTGAATATTTGGATAGCTTGGAGGATTTCGTTGGAAACGGGATTACGTATAAAAAGTAGACAGCAGCATCCTCAGAAACTTCTTTGTGATGTGTGCATTCAAGTCACAGAGTTGAACATTCCCTTTCGTACAGTAGTTTTGAAACACTCTTTCTGTAGTATCTGGAATTGAACATTAGGACAGCTTTCAGGTACTATGGTGAGAAAGGAAATATCTTCAAATAAAAACTAGACAGAAGCATTCTCATAAACTTGTTTGTGATGTGTGAACTCAGCTAACAGAGGTGGATCTTTCTTTTGATAGAGCAGTTCTGAAAAACACTTTTTGTTGAATCTGCAAGTGGACATTTGGATAGATTTGAAGATTTCGTTGCAAACGGGAATACCTTCATATCAAATCTAGACAGAAGCATTGTCAGAAACGTCTTTGTGATGTTTGCATTCAACTCATAGAGTTGAACATTCCGTTTCAGAGAGCAGCTTTGAGGCACTCTTTTTGTAGTATGTGCAAGTGGATATTTGGAGCGCTCTGAGGCCTACGGTGAAAAAGCAAATATCTTCCCATAACCACTAGACAGAAACATTCTCAGAAACTCCTTTATGACGTATGCACTCACCTAACAGAAAAGAACCTTCCTTTTGACAGAGCAGTTTTGATACACACTTTTTGTAGAATCTGCAAGTGGATATTTGGATAGCTGTGAAGATTCCGTTGGAAACGGGAATATCTTCCTATAAAATCTAGACAGAAGCATTCTCAGAAACTGCTCTGTGATGTCTGCTTTCAAGTCACAGAGTTGAACATTGCCTTTCATAGAGCAGGTTTGAAACGCTCTTTTTGTAGTATATGGAAGTGGATGTTTCGGACGGTTGGAGGCCCATGGTGATAAAGAGAATATCTTCCCCTACAAGCTAGAAAGAAGCATTCTGTGAAACTTGTTTGTGATGTGTGTACTCAACTAACAGAGTTGAACCTTTCTTTTTACAGAACAGTTTTGAAACACTCTTTTTGTAGAATCTGCGAGGGGATATTTGGATACATTTCAGCATTTCGTTGGAAACGGGAATATCTTCATATAAAATCTCGACAGAAGCATTCTCAGAAACTTCTTTGTGATATCTGCATTCAAGTCACAGAGTTGAATATTCCCTTTCACAGAGTAGGTTTGAAACACTCTTTTTGTAGTATCTGGAAGTGGACATTTGGAGCGCCTTGACACCTACGGTGAAAAGGGAAATATCTTTCCATAAAAACTAGACAGAAGCAATCTCAGAATCTTCTTTGGGATATATGCACGCAGCTAACAGAGTTGAACCTTTCTATTGACAGAGTAGTTTTGAAACAGTCTTTCTGTGGAATCTCCAAGTGGATATTTGGATAGCTTGGAGTATTTCGTTGGAAACGGGATTACGTATAAAAAGTAGACAGCAGCATCCTCAGAAACTTCTTTGTGATGTGTGCATTCAAGTCACAGAGTTGAACATTCCCTTTCGTACAGCAGTTTTGAAACGCTCTTTCTGTAGTATCTGGAAGTGAACATTAGGACAGCTTTCAGGTCTATGTTGAGAAAGGGAATATCTTCAAATAAAAACTAGACAGAAGCATTCTCATAAACCTTTTTGTGATGTGTGAACTCAGCTAACAGAGGTGGATCTTTCTTTTGATAGAGCAGTTCTGAAAAACACTTTTTGTTGAATCTGCAAGTGGACATTTGGATAGATTTGAAGATTTCGTTGGAAACGGGAATATCTTCATATCAAATCTAGACAGAAGCATTCTCAGAAACGTCTTTGCGTTGTTTGCATTCAACTCATAGAGTTGAACATTCCGTTTCAGAAAGCAGCTTTGAGGCACTCTTTTTGTAGTATGTGCAAGTGGATATTTGGAGCGCTCTGAGGCCTACGGTGAAAAAGCAAATATCTTTCCATAACCACTAGACAGAAACATTCTCAGAAACTCCTTTATGACGTATGCACTCACCTAACAGAGAAGAACCTTCCTTTTGACAGAGCAGTTTTGATGCACTCTTTTTGTAGAATCTGCAAGTGGATATCTGGATAGCTGTGAATATTTCGTTGGAAACGGGAATATCTTCCTATAAAATCTAGACAGAAGCATTCTCAGAAACTGCTCTGTGATGTCTGCATTGAAGTCACAGAGTTGAACATTGCCTTTCCTAGAGCAGGTTTGAAACGCTCTTTTTGTAGTATATGGAAGTGGACGTTTCGGACGGTTGGAGGCCCAGGGTGATAAAGGGAATATCTTCCCCTACAAGCTAGAAAGAAGCATTCTGTGAAACTTGTTTGTGATGTGTGTACTCAACTAACAGAGTTGAACCTTTCTTTTCACAGAGCAGTTTTGAAACACTCTTTTTGTAGAATCTGCGAGGGGATATTTGGATAGATTTCAGGATTTCTTTGGAAACGGGAATATCTTCATATAAAATCTCGACAGAAGCATTCTCAGAAACTTCTTTGTGATATGTGCATTCAAGTCACAGAGTTGAATATTCCCTTTCACAGAGTAGGTTTGAAACACTCTTTTTGTAGTATCTGGAAGTGGACATTTGGAGCGCCTTGACGCCTACGGTGAAAAGGGAATATCTTCCCATAAAAACTAGACAGAAGCAATCTTAGAATCTTCTTTGGGATATATGCACGCAGCTAACAGAGTTGAACCTTTCTATTGACAGAGCAGTTTTGAAACAGTCTTTCTGTGGAATCTGCAAGTGGATATTTGGATAGATTGGAGGATTTCGTTGGAAACGGGATTACGTATAAAAAGTAGACTGCAGCATCCTCAGAAACTTCTTTGTGATGTGTGCATTCAAGTCACAGTGTTGAACATTCCCTTTCGTACAGCAGTTTTGAAACACTCTTTCTGTAGTATCTGGAAGTGAACATTAGGACAGCTTTCAGCTCTATGGTGAGAAAGGAAATATCTTCAAATAAAAACTAGACAGAAGCATTCTCATAAACTTGTTTGTGATGTGTGAACTCAGCTAACAGAGGTGGATCTTTCTTTTGATAGAGCAGTTCTGAAAAACACTTTTTGTTTAATCTGCAAGTGGACATTTGGATAGATTTGAAGATTTCGTTGGAAACGGGAATATCTTCATATCAAATCTAGACAGAAGCATTCTCGGAAACGTCTTTGTGATGTTTGCATTCAACACATAGAGTTGAACATTCCGTTTCAGAGAGCAGCTTTGAAGCACTCTTTTTGTAGTATGTGCAAGTGGATATTTGGAGCACTCTGAGGCCTAGGGTGAAAAAGCAAATATCTTCCCATAACCACTAGACAGAAACATTCTCAGAAACTCCTTTATAACGTATGCACTCACCTAACAGAGAAGAACCTTCCTTTTGACAGAGCAGTTTTGATACACTCTTTTTGTAGAATCTGCAAGTGGATATTTGGATAGCTGTGAAGATTTCGTTGGAAACGGGAATATCTTCCTATAAAATCTAGAGAGAAGCATTCTCAGAAACTGCTCTGTGATGTCTGCATTCAAGTCACAGAGTTGAACATTGCCTTTCATAGAGCAGGTTTGAAATGCTCTTTTTGTAGTATATGGAAGTGGACGTTTCGGACGGTTTGAGACCCATGGTGATAAAGGGAATATATTCCCCTACAAGCTAGAAAGAAGCATTCTGTGAAACTTGTTTGTGATGTGTGTACTCAACTAACAGAGTTGAAACTTTCTTTTTACAGAGCAGTTTTGAAACACTCTTTTTGTAGAATCTGCGAGGGGATATTTCGATAGATTTCAGGATTCCGTTGGAAACGGGAATATCTTCATATAAAATCTCGACAGAAGCATTCTCAGAAACTTCTTTGTGATATGTGCATTCAAGTTACAGAGTTGAATATTCCCTTTCACAGATTAGGTTTGAAACACTCTTTTTGAGGCATCTGGAAGTGGACATTTGGAGCGCCTTGACGCCTACGGTGAAAAGGGAAATATCTTCCCATAAAAACTAGACAGAAGCAATCTCAGAATCTTCTTTGGGATATATGCACGCAGCTAACAGAGTTGAACCTTTCTATTGACAGAGCAGTTTTGAAACAGTCTTTCTGTGGAATCCGCAAGTGGATATTTGGATAGATTAGAGGATTTCGTTGGAAACGGGATTACGTATAAAAAGTAGACAGCAGCATCCTCAGAAACTTCTTTGTGATGTGTGCATTCAAGTCACAGATTTGAACATTCCCTTTCGTACAGCAGCTTTGAAACACTCTTTCTGTAGTATCTGGAAGTGAACATTAGGACAGCTTTCAGGTCTATGGTGAGAAAGGAAATATCTTCAAATAAAAACTAGACAGAAGCATTCTCATAAACCTGTTTGTGATGTGTGAACTCAGCTAACAGAGGTGGATCTTTCTTTTGATAGAGCAGTTCTGAAAAACACTTTTTGTTGAATCTGCAAGTGGACATTTGGATAGATTTGAAGATTTCGTTGGAAACGGGAATATCTTCATATCAAATCTAGACAGAAGCATTCGCGGTAACGTCTTTGTGATGTTTGCATTCAACTCATAGAGTTGAACATTCCGTTTCAGAGAGCAGCTTTGAAGCACTCTTTTTGTAGTATGTGCAAGTGGATATTTGGAGCGCTCTGAGGCCTACGGTGAAAAAGCAAATATCTTCCCATAACCACTAGACAGAAACATTCTCAGAAACTTCTTTATGACGTATGTACTCAACTAGCAGAGAAGAACTTTCCTTTTGACAGAGCATTTTTGATACACTCTTTTTGTAGTATCTGCAAGTGGATATTTGGATAGCTGTGAAGATTTCGTTGGAAACGGGAATATCTTCCTATAAAGTCTGGACAGAAGCATTTTCAGAAACTGCTCTGTGATGTCTGCATTCAAGTCACAGAGTTGAACATTGCCTTTCATAGAGCAGGTTTCAAACACTCTTTTTTTAGTATATGGAAGTGGACGTTTCGGACGGTTTGAGGACCATGGTGATAAAGGAAATATCTTCCCCTACAAGCTAGAAAGAAGCATTCTGTGAAACTTGTTTGTGATGTGTGTACTCAACTAACAGAGTGGAACCTTTCTTTTTACAGAGCAGTTTTGAAACACTCTTTTTGTAGAATCTGCGAGGGGATATTTGGATAGATTTCAGGATTTCGTTGGAAACGGGAATATCTTCATATAAAATCTCGACAGAAGCATTCTCAGAAACTTCATTGTGATATCTGCATTCAAGTCACAGAGTGGAATATTCCCTTTCACAGAGTAGGTTTGAAACACTCTTTTTGTAGTATCTGGAAGTGGACCTTTGGAGCGCCTTGACACCTACGGTGAAAAGGGAAATATCTTCCCGTAAAAACTAGACAGAAGCAATCTCAGAATCTTCTTTGGGATATATGCACGCAGCTAACAGAGTTGAACCTTTCTATTGACAGAGCAGTTTTGAAACAGTCTTTCTGTGGAATCTGCAAGTGGATGTTTGGATAGATTGGAGGATTTCGTTGGAAACGGGATTACGTATAAAAAGTAGACAGCAGCATCCTCAGAAACTTATTTGTGAGGTGTGCATTCAAGTCACAGAGTTGAACATTCCCTTTCGTACAGCAGTTTTGAAACACTGTTTCTGTAGTATCTGGAAGTGAACATTAGGACAGCTTTCAGGTCTATGGTGAGAAAGGAAATATCTTCAAATAAAAACTAGACAGAAACATTCTCATAAATTTGTTTGTGATGTGTAAACTCAGCTAACAGTCGTGGATCTTTCTTTTGATACAGCAGTTTTGAAAAACACTTTTTGTTGAATCTGCAAGTGGACATTTGGATAGATATGAAGATTTCGTTGGAAACGGGAATATCTTCATATCAAATCTAGACAGAAGCATTCTCAGAAACGTCTTTGTGATGTTTTCATTCAACTCATAGAGTTGAACATTCCGTTTCAGAGACCAGCTTTGAAGCACTCTTTTTGTAGTATGTGCAAGTGGATATTTGGAGCGCTCTGAGGCCTACGGTGAAAAAGCAAATATCTTCCCATAACCACTAGACAGAAACATTCTCAGAAACTCCTTTATGACGTATGCACTCACCTAACAGAGAAGAACCTTCCTTTTGACAGAGCAGTTTTGATACACTCTTTTTGTAGAATCTGCAAGTGAATATTTGGATACCTGTGAAGATTTCGTTGGAAACGGGAATATCTTCCTATAAAATCTAGACAGAAAGCATTCTCAGAAACTGCTCTGTGATGTCTGCATTCAAGTCACAGAGTTGAACATTGCCTTTCATAGAGCAGGTTTGAAACGCTCTTTTTGTAGTATATGGAAGTGGATGTTTCGGACGGTTGGAGGCCCATGGTGATAAAGGGAATATCTTCCTCTACAAGCTAGAAAGAGAAGCATTCTGTGAAACTTGTTTGTGATGTGTGTACTCAACTAACAGAGTTGAACCTTTCTTTTTACAGAGCAGTTTTGAAACACTCTTTTTGTAGAATCTGCGAGGGGATATTTGGATAGATTTCAGGATTTCTTTGGAAAGGGGAATATCTTCATATAAAATCTCGACAGAAGCATTCTCAGAAACTTCTTTGTGATATCTGCATTCAAGTCACAGAGTTGAATATTCCCTTTCACAGAGTAGGTTTCAAACATTCTTTTTGTAGTATCTGGAAGTGGACATTTGGAGCGCCTTGACGCCTACGGTGAAAAGGGAAATATCTTCCCATAAAAACTAGACAGAAGCAATCTCAGAATCTTCTTTGGGATATATGCACGCAGCTAAGAGAGTTGAATCTTTCTATTGACAGAGCAGATTTGAAACAGTCTTTCTGTGGAATCTGCAAGTGGATATTTGGATAGATTGGAGGATTTCGTTGGAAACGGGTTTACGTATAAAAAGTAGACAGCCAGCATCCTCAGAAACTTCTTTGTGATGTGTGCATTCAAGTCACAGAGTTGAACATTCCCTTTCGTACAGCAGTTTTGAAACACTCTTTCTGTAGTATCTGGAAGTGAACATTAGGACAGCTTTCAGGTCTATGGTGAGAAAGGAAATATCTTCAAATAAAAACTAGACAGAGCATTCTGATAAACTTGTTTGTGAAGTGCGAACTCAGCTAACAGAGGTGGATCTTTCTTTTGAAACAGCAGTTTTAAAAAACACTTTTTGTTGAATCTGCAAGTGGACATTTGAATAGATTTGAAGATTTCGTTGGAAACAGGAATACCTTCATATGAAATCTAGACAGAAGCATTCTCAGAAACGTCTTTGTGATGATTGCATTCAACTCATAGAGTTGAACATTCCGTTTCAGAGAGCAGCTTTGAAGCACTCTTTTTGTAGTATGTGCAAGTGGATATTTGGAGTGCTCTGGGGCCTACGGTGAAAAAGCAAATATCTTCCCATAACCACTAGACAGAAAACATTCTCAGAAACTCCTTTATGACGTATGCACTCACCTAACAGAGAAGAACCTTCCTTTTGACAGAGCAGTTTTGATACACTCTTTTTGTAGAATCTGCAAGTGGATATTTCGATAGCTGTGAAGATTTTGTTGGAAACGGGAATATCTTCCTATAAAATCTAGACAGAAGCATTCTCTGAAACTGCTCTGTGATGTCTGCATTCAAGTCACAGAGTTGAACGTTGCCTTTCATAGAGCAGGTTTCAAACACTCTTTTTTTAGTATATGGATGTGGACGTTTCGGACGGTTTGAGGACCATGGTGATAAAGGAAATATCTTCCCCTACAAGCTAGAAAGAAGCATTCTGTGAAACTTGTTTGTGATGTGTGTACTCAACTAACAGAGTTGAACCTTTCTTTTTACAGAGCAGTTTTGAAACACTCTTTTTGTAGAATCTGCGAGGGGATATTTGGATAGATTTCAGGATTTCGTTGGAAACGGGAATATCTTCATATAAAATCTTGACAGAAGCATTCTCAGAAACTTCCTTGTGATATGTGCATTCAAGTCACAGAGTTGAATATTCCCTTTCACAGAGTAGGTTTGAAACACTCTTTTTGTAGTATCTGGAAGTGGTCATTTGGAGCGCCTTGACGCCCACGGTGAAAAGGGAAATATCTTCCCATAAAAACTAGACAGAAGCAATCTCAGAATCTTCTTTGGGATATATGCACGCAGCTAACAGAGTTGAACCTTTCTATTGACAGAGCAGTTTTGAAACAGTCTTTCTGTGGAATCTGCAAGTGGATATTTGGATAGCTTGGAGGATTTCGTTGGAAACGGGATTACGTATAAAAAATAGACAGCAGCATCCTGAGAAACTTCCTTGTGATGTGTGCATTCAAGTCACAGAGTTGAACATTCCCTTTCGTACAGCAGTTTTGAAACACTCTTTCTGTAGTATCTGGAAGTGAACATTAGGACAGCGTTCAGGTCTATGGTGAGAAAGGAAATATCTTCAAATAAAAAGTAGACAGAAGCATTCTCATCAATTTGTTTGTGATGTGTGAACTCAGCTAACAGAGGTGGATCTTTCTTTTGATAGAGCAGTTCTGAAAAACACTTTTTGTTGAATCTGCAAGTGGACATTTGGATAGATTTGAAGATTTCGTTGGAAACGGGAATATCTTCATATCAAGTCTAGACAGAAGCATTCTCAGAAACGTCTTTGTGATGTTTGCATTCAACTCATAGAGTTGAACATTCCCTTTCAGAGAGCAGCTTTGAAGCACTCTTTTTGTAGTATGTTCAAGTGGACATTTGGAGCGCTTTGAGGCTTACGGGGAAAAAGCAAATATCTTCCCATAACCACTAGACAGAAAACATTCTCAGAAACTCCTTTATGACGTATGCACTCACCTAACAGCAAAAGAACCTTCCTTTTGACAGAGCAGTTTTGATACACTCTTTTTGTAGAATCTGCAAGTGGATATTTGGATAGCTGTGAAGATTTCGTTGGAAACGGGAATATCTTCCTATAAAGTCTAGACAGAAGCATTCTCAGAAACTGCTCTGTGATGTTTGCATTCAAGTCACAGAGTTGAACATTGCCTTTCCTAGAGCAGGTTTGAAACGCTCTTTTTGTACTATATGGAAGTGGACGTTTCGGACGGTTTGAGGCCCATGGTGATAAAGGGAATATCTTCCCCTACAAGCTAGAAAGAAGCATTCTGTGAAACTTGTTTGTGATGTGTGTACTCAACTAACAGAGTTGAACCTTTCTTTTTACAGAGCAGCTTTGAAACACTCTTTTTGTAGAATCTGCGAGGGGATATTTGGATAGATTTCAGGATTTCGTTGGAAACGGGAATATCTTCATATAAAATCTCGACAGAAGCATTCTCAGAACCTTCTTTGTGATATGTGCATTCAAGTCACAGAGTTGAATATTCCCTTTCACAGAGTAGGTTTGAAACACTCTTTTTGTAGTATCTGGAAGTGGACATTTTGAGCACCTTGACGCCTACGGTGAAAAGGGAAATATCTTCTCATAAAAAGTAGACAGAAGCAATCTCAGAATCTTCTTTGGGATATATGCACGCAGCTAACAGAGTTGAACCTTTCTATTGACAGAGCAGTTTTGAAACAGTCTTTCTGTGGAATCTGCAAGTGGATATTTGGATAGCTTGGAGGATTTCGTTGGAAACGGGATTAAGTATAAACAGTAGACAGCAGCATCCTCAGAAACTTCTTTGTGATGTGTGCATTCAAGTCACAGAGTTGAACATTCCCTTTCGTACAGCAGTTTTGAAACACTCTTTCTGTAGTAACTGGAAGTGAACATTAGGACAGCTTTCAGGTACTATGGTGAGAAAGGAAATATCTTCAAATAAAAACTAGACAGAAGCATTCTCATAAACTTGTTTCTGATGTGTGAACTCAGCTAAGAGAGGTGGATCTTTCTTTTGATAGAGAAGTTCTGAAAAACACTTTTTGTTGAATCTGCAAGTGGACATTTGGATAGATTTGAAGATTTCGTTGGAAACGGGAATATCTTCATATCAAATCTAGACAGAAGCATTCTCAGAAACCTCTTTGTGATGTTTGCATTCAACTCATAGAGTTGAACATTCCCTTCCAGAGAGCAGCTTTGAGGCACTCTTTTTGTAGCATGTGCAAGTGGACATTTGGAGCGCCCTGAGGCCTACGGGGAAAAAGCAAATATCTTCCCATAACCACTAGACAGAAACATTCTCAGAAACTCCTTTATGACGTATGCACTCACCTAACAGAGAAGAACCTTCCTTTTGACAGAGCAGTTTTGATACACTCTTTTTGTAGAATATGCAAGTGGATATTTGGATAGCTGTGAAGATTTCGTTGGAAACGGGAATATCTTCCTATAAAATCTAGACAGAAGCATTCTCAGAAACTGCTCTGTGATGTTTGCTTTCATGTCACAGAGTTGAACATTGCCTTTCATAGAGCAGGTTTCAAGCACTCTTTTTTTAGTATATGGAAGTGGACGTTTCGGACGGTTTGAGGCCCATGGTGATAAAGGAAATATCTTCCCCTACAAGCTAGAAAGAAGCATTGTGTGAAACTTATTTGTGATGTGTGTACTCAACTAACAGAGTTGAACCTTTCTTTTTACAGAGCAGTTTTGAAACACTCTTTTTGTACAATCTGCGAGGGGATATTTGGATACATTTCAGGATTTTGTTGGAAACGGGAATATCTTCATATAAAATCTCGACAGAAGCATTCTCAGAAACTTCTTTGTGATATCTGCATTCAAGTCACAGAGTTGAATATTCCCTTTCACAGAGTAGGTTTGAAACACTCTTTTTGTAGTATCTGGAAGTGGACATTTGGAGCGCCTTGACACCTATTGTGAAAAGGGAAATATCTTCCCATAAAAACTAGACAGAAGCAATCTCAGAATTTTCTTTGGGATATATGCACACAGCTAACAGAGTTGAACTTTTCTATTGACAGAGCAGTTTTGAAACAGTCTTTCTGTGGAATCTGCAAGTGGATATTTGGATAGCTTGGAGGATTTCGTTGGAAACGGGATTACGTATAAAAAGTAGACAGCAGCATCCTCAGAAACTTCTTTGTGATGTGTGCATTCAAGTCACAGAGTTGAACATTCCCTTTTGTACAGCAGTTTTGAAACACTCTTTCTGTAGTATCTGGAAGTGAACATTAGGACAGCTTTCAGGTCTATGGTGAGAAAGAAAATATCTTCAAATAAAAACTAGACAAGAAGCATTCTCATAAACTTGTTTGTGATGTGTGAACTCATCTAACAGAGGTGGATCTTTCTTTTGATAGAGCAGTTCTGAAAAACACTTTTTGTTGAATCTGCAAGTGGACATTTGGATAGATTTGAAGATTTCGTTGGAAACGGGAATATCTTCATATAAAATCTAGACAGAAGCATTCTCAGAAACGTCTTTGTGATGTTTGCATTCAACTCATAGAGTTGAACATTCCCTTTCAGAGAGCAGCTTTGAAACACTCTTTTTGTAGTATGTGCAAGTGGATATTTGGAGCGCTCTGAGGCCTAAGGTGAAAAGGCAAATATCTTCCCATAACCACTAGACTTAAACATTCTCAGCAAACTCCTTTATGACGTATGCACTCACCTAACAGAAAAGAACCTTCCTTTTGACAGAGCAGTTTTGATACACTCTTTTTGTAGAATCTGCAAGTGGATATTTGGATAGCTGTGAAGATTTCGTTGGAAACGGGAATATCTTCCTATAAAATCTAGACAGAAGCATTCTCAGAAACTGCTCTGTGATGTCTGCATTCAAGTCACAGAGTTGAACATTGCCTTTCATAGAGCAGGTTTGAAACTCTCTTTTTGTAGTATATGGAAGTGGACGTTTCGGACGGTTTGAGGCCCATGGTGATAAAGGGAATATCTTCCCCTACAAGCTAGAAAGAAGCATTGTGTGAAACTTGTTTGTGATGTGTGTACTCAACTAACAGAGTTGAACCTTTCTTTTTACAGAGCAGTTTTAAAACACTCTTTTTGTAGAATCTGCGAGGGGATATTTGGATACATTTCAGGATTTCGTTGGAAACGGGAATATCTTCATATAAAATCTCGACAGAAGCATTCTCAGAAACTTCTTTGTGATATGTGCATTCAAGTCACAGAGTTGAATATTCCCTTTCACAGAGTAGGTTTGAAACACTCTTTTTGTAGTATTTGGATGTGGACATTTGGAGCGCCTTGACACCTACGGTGAAAAGGGAAATATCTTCCCATAAAAACTAGACAGAAGCAATCTCAGAATCTTCTTTGGGATATATGCACGCAGCAAACAGAGTTGAACCTTTCTATTGACTGAGCAGATTTGAAACAGTCTTTCTGTGGAATCTGCAAGTGGATATTTGGATAGCTTGGAGGATTTCGTTGGAAACGGGATTACGTATAAAAAGTAGACAGCAGCATCCTCAGAAACTTCTTTGTGATGTGTGCATTCAAGTCACAGAGTTGAACATTCCCTTTCGTACAGCAGTTTTGAAACACTCTTTCTGTAGTATCTGGAAGTGAACATTAGGACAGCTTTCAGGTCTATGGTGAGAAAGGAAATATCTTCAACTAAAAACTAGACAGAAGCATTCTCATAAACTTGTTTGTGATGTGTGAACTCAGCTAACAGAGGTGGATCTTTCTTTTGATAGAGCAGTTCTGAAAAACACTTTTTGTTGAATCTGCAAGTGGACATTTCGATAGATTTGAAGATTTCGTTGGAAACGGGAATATCTTCATATCAAATCTAGACAGAAGCATTCTCAGAAACGTCTTTGTGATGTTTGCATTCAACTCATAGAGTTGAACATTCCTTTTCAGAGAGCAGCTTTGAAGCACTCTTTTTGTACTATGTGCAAGTGGATATTTGGAGCGCTCTGAGGCCTACGGTGAAAAAGCAAATATCTTCCCATAACCACTAGACAGAAACATTCTCAGAAACTCCTTTATGACGTATGTACTCACCTAAGAGAGAAGAACCTTCCTTTTGACAGAGCAGTTTTGATACACTCTTTTTGTAGAATCTGCAAGTGGATATTTGGATAGCTGTGAAGATTTCGTTGGAAACGGGAATATCTTCCTATAAAATCTAGACAGAAGCATTCTCAGAAACTGCTCTGTGATGTCTGCATTCAAGTCACAGAGTTGAACATTGCCTTTCATAGAGCAGGTTTGAAACGCTCTTTTTGTAGTATATGGAAGTGGACTTTTCGGACGGTTTGAGGCCCATGGTAATAAAGGGAATATCTTCCCCTACAAGCTAGAAAGAAGCATTCTGTGAAACTTGTTTGTGATGTGTGTACTCAAGTAACAGAGTTGAACCTTTCTTTTTACAGAGCAGTTTTGAAACACTCTTTCTGTAGAATCTGCGAGGGGATATTTGGATAGATTTCAGGATTTCGTTGGAAACGGGAATATCTTCATATAAAACCTCGACAGAAGCATTCTCAGAAACTTCTTTGTGATATGTGCATTCAAGTCACAGAGTTGAATATTCGCTTTCACAGAGTAGGTTTGAAACACTCTTTTTGTAGTATCTGGAAGTGGACATTTGGAGCGCCTTGACGCCTACGGTGAAAAGGGAAATATCTTCCCATAAAAACTAGACAGAAGCAATCTCAGAATCTTCTTTGGGATATATGCACGCAGCTAACAGAGTTGAACCTTTCTATTGACAGAGCAGTTTTGAAACTGTCTTTCTGTGGAATCTGCAAGTGGATATTTGGATAGATTGGAGGATTTCGTTGCAAAGGGGATTACGTATAAAAAGTAGACAGCAGCATCCTCAGAAATCATTCTTTGTGATGTGTGCATTCAAGTCACAGAGTTGAACATTCCCTTTCGTACAGCAGTTTTGAAACACTCTTTCTGTAGTATCTGGAAGTGAACATTAGGACAGCTTTCAGGTCTATGGTGAGAAAGGAAATATCTTCAAATAAAAACTAGATAGAAAGCATTCTCATAAACTTGTTTGTGATGTGTGAACTCAGCTAACAGAGGCGGATCTTTCTTTTGATAGAGCAGTTCGGAAAAACACTTTTTGTTGAATCTGCAAGTGGACATTTGGATAGATTTGAAGATTTCGTTGGAAACGGGAATATCTTCATATCAAATCTAGACAGAAGCATTCTCAGAAACGTCTTTGCGATGTTTGCATTCAACTCATCGAGTTGAACATTCCGTTTCAGAGAGCAGCTTTGAGGCACTCTTTTTGTAGTATGTGCAAGTGGATATTTGGAGCGCTCTGAGGCCTACGGTGAAAAAGCAAATATCTTCCCATAACCACTAGACAGAAACATTCTCAGAAACTCCTTTATGACGTATGCACTCACCTAACAGAAAAGAACCTTCCTTTTGACAGAGCAGTTTAGATACACTCTTTTTGTAGAATCTGCAAGTGGATATTTGGATAGCTGTGAAGATTTCGTTGGAAACGGGAATATCTTCCTATAAAATCTAGACAGAAGCATTCTCAGAAACTGCTCTGTGATGTCTGCATTCAAGTCACAGAGTTGAACATTGCCTTTCATAGAGCAGGTTTGAAACACTCTTTTTGTAGTATATGGAAGTGGACATTTCGGACGGTTTGAGGCCCATGGTGATAAAGGGAATATCTTCCCCTACAAGCTAGAAAGAAGCATTCTGTGAAACTAGTTTGTGATGTGTGTACTCAACTAACAGAGTTGAACCTTTCTTTTTACAGAGCAGTATTGAAACACTCTTTTTGAAGAATCTGCGAGGGGATATTTGGATAGATTTCAGGATTTCGTTGGAAACGGGAATATCTTCATATAAAATCTCGACAGAAGCATTCTCAGAAACTTCTTTGTGATATCTGCATTCAAGTCACAGAGTTGAATATTCCCTTTCACAGAGTAGGTTTGAAACACTCTTTTTGTAGTATCTGGAAGTGGACATTTGGAGCACCTTGACACCTACGGTGAAAAGGGAAATATCTTCCCATAAATACTAGACAGAAGCAATCTCAGAATCTTCTTTGGGATATATGCACGCAGCTAACAGAGTTGAACCTTTCTATTGACAGAGCAGTTTTGAAACAGTCTTTCTGTGGAATCTGCAAGTGGACATTTGGATAGCTTGGAGGATTTCGTTGGAAACGGGATTACGTATAAAAAGTAGACAGCAGCATCCTCAGAAACTTCTTTGTGATGTGTGCATTCAAGTCACAGAGTTGAACATTCCCTTTCGTACAGCAGTTTTGAAACACTCTTTCTGTAGTATCTGGAAGTGAACACTAGGACAGCTTTCAGGTCTATGGTGAGAAAGGAAATATCTTCAAATAAAAACTAGACAGAAGCATTCTCATAAACTTGTTTGTGATGTGTGAACTCAGCTAACATAGGTGGATCTTTCTTTTGATAGAGCAGTTCTGAAAAACACTTTTTGTTGAATCTGCAAGTGGACATTTGGATAGATTTGAAGATTTCGTTGGAAACGGGAATATCTTCATATCAAATCTAGACAGAAGCATTCTCAGAAACGTCTTTGCGATGTTTGCATTCAACTCATAGAGTTGAACATTCCCTTTCAGAGAGCAGCTTTGAGGCACTCTTTTTGTAGTATGTGCAAGTGGATATTTGGAGCGCTCTGAGGCCTACGGTGAAAAAGCAAATATCTTCCCATAACCACTAGACAGAAACATTCTCAGAAACTTCTTTATGACGTATGTACTCAACTAGCAGAGAAGAACTTTCCTTTTGACAGAGCATTTTTGATACATTCTTTTTGTAGTATCTGCAAGTGGATATTTGGATAGCTGTGAAGATTTCCTTGGAAACGGGAATATCTTCCTATAAAGTCTGGACAGAAGCATTCTCAGAAACTGCTCTGTGATGTCTGCATTCAAGTCACAGAGTTGAACATTGCCTTTCATAGAGCAGGTTTCAAACACTCTTTTTTTAGTATATGGAAGTGGACGTTTCGGATGGTTTGAGGCCCATGGTGATAAAGGAAATATCTTCCCCTACAAGCTAGAAAGAAGCATTCTGTGAAACTTGTTTGTGATGTGTGTACTCAACTAATAGAGTTGAACCTTTCTTTTTACAGAGCAGTTTTGAAACACTCTTTTTGTAGAATCTGCGAGGGGATATTTGGATAGATTTCAGGATTTCGTTGGAAACGGGAATATCTTCATAGAAAATCTCGACAGAAGCATTCTCAGAAACTTCCTTGTGATATGTGCATTCAAGTCACAGAGTTGAATATTCCCTTTCACAGAGTAGGTTTGAAACACTCTTTTTGTAGTATCCGGAAGTGGACATTTGGAGCGCCTTGACGCCCACGGTGAAAAGGGAAATATCTTCCCATAAAAACTAGACAGAAGCAATCTCAGAATCTTCTTTGGGATATATGCACGCAACTAACAGAGTTGAACCTTTCTATTGACAGAGCAGTTTTGAAACAGTCTTTCTGTGGAATCTGCAAGTGGATATTTGGATAGCTTGGAGGATTTCGTTGGAAACGGGATTAGGTATAAAAAGTAGACAGCAGCATCCTCAGAAACTTCTTTGTGATGTGTGCATTCAAGTCACAGAGTTGAACATTCCCTTTCGTACAGCAGTTTTGAAACACTCTTTCTGTAGTATCTGGAAGTGAACATTAGGACAGCTTTCAGGTCTATGGTGAGAAAGGCAATATCTTCAAATAAAAACTAGACAGAAGCATTCTCATAAACTTGTTTGTGATGTGTGAACTCAGCTAACAGACGTGGATCTTTCTTTTGATACAGCAGTTTCGAAAAACACTTTTTGTTGAATCTGCAAGTGGACATTTGGATAGATTTGAAGATTTCGTTGGAAACGGGAATATCTTCATATCAAATCTAGACAGAAGCATTCTCAGAAACGTCTTTGTGATGTTTGCATTCAACTCATAGAGTTGAACATTCCGTTTCAGAGAGCAGCTTTGAAGCACTCTTTTTGTAGTATGTGCAAGTGGATATTTGGAGCGCTCTGAGGCCTACGGTGAAAAAGAAAATATCTTCCCATAACCACTAGACAGAAACATTCTCAGAAACTCCTTTATGACGTATGTACTCAACTAACAGAGAAGAACCTTCCTTTTGAAAGAGCAGTTTTGATACACTCTTTTTGTAGAATCTGCAAGTGGATATTTGGATAGCTGTGAAGATTTCTTTGGAAACGGGAATATCTTCCTATAAAATCTAGACAGAAAGCATTCTCAGAAACTGCTCTGTGATGTCTGCATTCAAGTCACAGAGTTGAACATTGCCTTTCATAGAGCAGGTTTGAAACGCTCTTTTTGTAGTATATGGAAGTGGATGTTTCGGACGGTTGGAGGCCCATGGTGATAAAGGGAATATCTTCCCCTACAAGCTAGAAAGAAGCATTGTGTGAAACTTGTTTGTGATGTGTGTACTCAACTAACAGAGTTGAACCTTTCTTTTTACAGAGCAGTTTTGAAACAATCTTTTTGTAGAATCTGCGAGGGGATATTTGGATAGATTTCAGGATTTCGTTGGAAACGGGAATATCTTCATATAAAATCTCGACAGAAAGCATTCTCAGAAACTTCTTTGTGATATGTGCATTCAAGTCACAGAGGTGAATATTCCCTTTCACAGAGTAGGTTTGAAACACTCTTTTTGTAGTATCTGGAAGTGGACATTTGGAGCGCCTTGACGCCTACGGTGAAAAGGGAAATATCTTCCCATAAAAACTAGACAGAAGCAATCTCAGAATCTTCTTTGGGATATATGCACGCAGCTAACAGAGTTGAACCTTTCTATTGACAGAGCAGTTTTGAAACAGTCTTTCTGTGGAATCTGCAAGTGGATATTTGGATAGCTTGGAGGATTTCGTTGGAAACGGGATTACGTATAAAAAGTAGACAGCAGCATCCTCAGAACCTCCTTTTGATGTGTGCATTCAAGTCACAGAGTTGAACATTCCCTTTCGTACAGCAGTATTGAAACACTCTTTCTGTAGTATCTGGAAGTGAACATTAGGACAGCTTTCAGGTCTATGGTGAGAAAGGAAATATCTTCAAATAAAAACTAGACAGAAGCATTCTCATAAACTTGTTTGTGATGTGTGAACTCAGCTAACAGAGGTGGATCTTTCTTTTGATAGAGCAGTTCGGAAAAACACTTTTTGTTGAATCTCCAAGTGGACATTTGGATAGATTTGAAGATTTCGTTGGAAACGGGAATATCTTTATATCAAATCTAGACAGAAGGCATTCTCAGAAACGTCTTTGTGATGTTTGCATTCAACTCATAGAGTTGAACATTCCCTTTCAGAGAGCAGCTTTGAAGCACTCTTTTTGTAGTATGTGCAAGGGGATATTTGGAGCGCTCTGAGGCCTAAGGTGAAAAAGCAAATATCTTCCCATAACCACTAGACAGAAACATTCTCAGAAACTCCTTTATGACGTATGCACTCACCTAACAGAGAAGAACCTTCCTTTTGACAGAGCAGTTTTGATACACTCTTTTTGTAGAATCTGCAAGTGGATATTTGGATTGCTGTGAAGATTTCGTTGGAAACGGGAATATCTTCCTATAAAATCTAGACAGAAGCATTCTCAGAAACTGCTCTGTGATGTCTGCATTCAAGTCACAGAGTTGAACATTGCCGTTCATAGAGCAGGTTTGAAACACTCTTTTTGTAATATATGGAAGTGGACGTTTCGGACGGTTTGAGGCCCATGGTGATAAAGGGAATATCTTCCCATACAAGCTAGAAAGAAGCATTGTGTGAAACTTGTTTGTGATGTGTGTACTCAACTAACAGAGTTGAACCTTTCTTTTTACAGAGTAGTTTTGAAACACTCTTTTTGTAGAATCTGCGAGGGGATATTTGGATACATTTCAGGATTTCGTTGGAAACGGGAATATCTTCATATAAAATCTCGACAGAAGCATTCTCAGAAACTTCTTTGTGATATGTGCATTCAAGTCACAGAGTTGAATATTCCCTTTCACAGAGTAGGTTTGAAACACTCTTTTTGTAGTATCTGGAAGTGGACATTTGGAGCGCCTCGACGCCTACCCTGAAAAGGGAAATATCTTCCCATAAAAACTAGACAGAAGCAATCTCAGAATCTTCTTTGGGATATATGCACGCAGCTAACAGAGTTGAACCTTTCTATTGACAGAGCAGTTTTGAAACAGTCTTTCTGTGGAATCTGCAAGTGGATATTTGGATAGCTTGGAGGATTTCGTTGGTAACGGGATTACGTATAAAAATTAGACAGCAGCATCCTCAGAAACTTCCTTGTGATGTGTGCATTCAAGACACAGAGTTGAACATTCCCTTTCGTACAGCAGTTTTGAAACACTCTTTCTGTAGTATCTGGAAGTGAACATTAGGAGAGCTTTCAGGTCTATAATTAGAAAGGAAATATCTTCAAATAAAAACTAGACAGAAGCATTCTCATAAACTTGTTTGTGATGTGTGAACTCAGCTAACAGAGGTGGATATTTCTTTTGATAGAGCAGTTCTGAAAAACACTTTTTGTTGAATCTGCAAGTGGACATTTGGATAGATTTGAAGATTTCGTTGGAAACGGGAATATCTTCATATCAAATCTAGACAGAAGCATTCTCAGAAACGTCTTTGCGATGTTTGCATTCAACTCATAGAGTTGAACATTCCGTTTCAGAGAGCAGCTTTGAGGCACTCTTTTTGTAGTATGTGCAAGTGGATATTTGGAGCGCTCTGAGGCCTACGGTGAAAAAGCAAATATCTTCCCATAACCACTAGTCAGAAACATTCTCAGAAACTCCTTTATGACGTATGCACTCACCTAACAGAGAAGAACCTTCCTTTTGACAGAGCAGTTTTGATACACACTTTTTGTAGAATCTGCAAGTGGATATTTGGATAGCTGTGAAGATTTCGTTGGAAACGGGAATATCTTCCTATAAAATCTAGAAAGAAGCATTCTCAGAAACTGCTCTGTGATGTCTGCATTCAAGTCACAGAGTTGAACATTGCCTTTCATAGAGCAGGTTTGAAACGCTCTTTTTGTAGTATATGGAAGTGGACGTTTCGGACGGTTGGAGGCCCATGGTGATAAAGGGAATATCTTCCCCTACAAGCTAGAAAGAAGCATTCTGTGAAACTTGTTTGTGATGTGTGTACTCAACTAACAGAGTTGAACCTTTCTTTTTACAGAGCAGTTTTGAAACACTCTTTTTGTAGAATCTGCGAGGGGATATTTGGATAGATTTCAGGATTTGGTTGGAAACTGGAATATCTTCATATAAAATCTCGACAGAAGCATTCTCAGAAACTTCTTTGTGATATGTGCATTCAACTCACAGAGTTGAATATTCCCTTTCACAGAGTAGGTTTGAAACACTCTTTTTGTAGTATCTGGAAGTGGACATTTGGAGCGCCTTGACGCCTACGGTGAAAAGGGAAATATCTTCCCATAAAAACTAGACAGAAGCAATCTCAGAATCTTCTTTGGGATATATGCACGCAGCTAACAGAGTTGAACCTTTCTATTGACAGAGCAGTTCTTAAACAGTCTTTCTGTGGAATCTGCAAGTGGATATTTGGATAGCTTGGAGGATTTCGTTGGAAACGGGATTACGTATAAAAAGTAGACAGCAGCATCCTCAGAAACTTCTTTGTGATGTGTGCATTCAAGTCACAGAGTTGAACATTCCCTTTCATACAGCAGTTTCTGAAACACTCTTTCTGTAGTATCTGGAAGTGAACTTTAGGACAGCTTTCAGGTCTATAGTGAGAAAGGATATATCTTCAAATAAAAACTAGACAGAAGCATTCTCATAAACTTGTTTGTGATGTGTGAACTCAGCTAACAGACGTGGATCTTTCTTTTGATACAGCAGTTTTGTAAAACACTTTTTGTTGAATCTGCAAGTAGACATTTGGATAGATTTGAAGATTTCGTTGGAAACGGGAATATCTTCATATCAAATCTAGACAGAAGCATTCTCAGAAACGTCTTTGCGATGTTTGCATTCAACTCATAGAGTTGAACATTCCGTTTCAGAGAGCAGCTGTGAGGCACTCTTTTTGTAGTATGTGCAAGTGGATATTTGGAGCGCTCTGAGGCCTACGGTGAAAAAGCAAATATCTTCCCATAACCACTAGACAGAAACATTCTCAGATACTCCTTTATGACGTATGCACTCACCTAACAGAGAAGAACCTTCCTTTTGACAGAGCAGTTTTGATACACTCTTTTTGTAGAATCTGCAAGTGGATATTTGGATAGCTGTGAAGATTTCGTTGGAAACGGGAATATCTTCCTATAAAATCTAGACAGAAGCATTCTCAGAAACTGCTCTGTGATGTCTGCATTCAAGTCACAGAGTTGAACATTGACTTTCGTAGAGCAGGTTTGAAACGCTCTTTTTGTAGTATATAAAAGTGGACGTTTCGGACGGTTTGAGGCCCATGGTGATAAAGGGAATATCTTCCCCTACAAGCTAGAAAGAAGCATTCTGTGAAACTTGTTTGTGATGTGTGTACTCAACTAACAGAGTTGAATCTTTCTTTTTACAGAGCAGTTTTGAAACACTCTTTTTGTAGAATCTGCGAGGGGATATTTGGATAGATTTCAGGATTTCGTTGGAAACGGGAATATCTTCATATAAAATCTCGACAGAAGCATTCTCAGAAACTTCTTTGTGATATCTGCATTCAAGTCACAGAGTTGAATACTCCCTTTCACAGAGTAGGTTTGAAACACTCTTTTTGTAGTATCTGGAAGTGGACATTTGGAGCGCCTTGACGCCTACGGTGAAAAGGGAAATATCTTCCCATAAAAACTAGACAGAAGTAATCTCAGAAACTTCTTTGGGATATATGCACGCAGCTAACAGAGTTGAACCTTTCTATTGACAGAGCAGTTTTGAAACAGTCTTTCTGTGGAATCTGCAAGTGAATATTTGGATAGTTTGGAGGATTTCGTTGGAAACGGGATTACGTATAAAAAGTAGACAGCAGCATCCTCAGAAACATCCTTGTGATGTGTGCATTCAAGTCACAGAGTTGAACATTCCCTTTCGTACAGCAGTTTTGAAACACTCTTTCTGTAGTAACTGGAAGTGAACATTAGGACAGCTTTCAGGTCTATGGTGAGAAAGGAAATATCTTCAAATAAAAACTAGACGGAAGCATTCTCATAAACTTGTTTGTGATGTGTGAACTCAGCTAACAGAGGTGGAACTTTCTTTTGATAGAGCAGTTCTGAAAAACACTTTTTGTTGAATCTGCAAGTGGACATTTGGATAGATTTGAAGATTTCGTTGGAAACGGGAATATCTTCATATCAAATCTAGACAGAAGCATTCTCAGAAACGTCTTTTGTGATGTTTGCATTCAACTCATAGAGTTGAACATTCCGTTTCAGAGAGCAGCTTTGAGGCACTCTTTTTGTAGTATGTGCAAGTGGATATTTGGAGCGCTCTGAGGCCTTCGGTGAAAAAGCAAATATCTTCCCATAACCACTAGACAGAAACATTCTCAGAAACTACTTTATGACGTATGTACTCAACTAACAGAGAAGAACCTTCCTTTTGACAGAGCAGTTTTGATACACTCTTTTTGTAGAATCTGCAAGTGTATATTTGGATAACTGTGAAGATTTCGTTGGAAACGGGAGTATCTTCCTATAAAATCTAGACAGAAGCATTCTCAGTAAACTGCTCTGTGATGTCTGCATTCAAGTCACAGAGTTGAACATTGCCTTTCCTAGAGCAGGTTTGAAACGCTCTTTTTGTAGTATATGGAAGTGGACGTTTCGGACGGTTGGAGGCCCATGGTGATAAAGGGAATATCTTCCCCTACAAGCTAGAAAGAAGCATTCTGTGAAACTTGTTTGTGATGTGTGTACTCAACTAACAGGGTTGAACCTTTCTTTTTACAGAGCAGTTTTGAAACAATCTTTTTGTAGAATCTGCGAGGGGATATTTGGATAGATTTCAGGATTTCGTTGGAAACGGGAATATCTTCATATAAAATCTCGACAGAAGCATTCTCAGAAACTTCTTTGTGATATCTGCCTTTAAGTCACAGAGTTGAATATTCCCTTTCACAGAGTAGGTTTGAAACACTCTTTTTGTAGTATCTGGAAGTGGACATTTGGAGCCCCTTGACACCTACGGTGAAAAGGGAAATATCTTCCCATAAAAACTAGACAGAAGCAATCTCAGAATCTTCTTTGGGATATATGCACGCAGTTAACAGAGTTGAACCTTTCTATTGACAGAGCAGTTTTGAAACAGTCTTTCTGTGGAATCTGCAAGTGGATATTTGGATAGATTGGAGGATTTCGTTGGAAACGGGATTACGTATAAAAAGTAGACAGCAGCATCCTCAGAAACTTCTTTGTGATGTGTGCATTCAAGTCACAGAGTTGAACATTCCCTTTCGTACAGCAGTTTTGAAACACTCTTTCTGTAGTATCTGGAAGTGAACATTATGACAGCTTTCAGCTCTATGGTGAGAAAGGAAATATCTTCAAATAAAAACTAGACAGAAGCATTCTCATAAACTTGTTTGTGATGTGTGAACTCAGCTAACAGAGGTGGATCTTTCTTTTCATAGAGCAGTTCTGAAAAACACTTTTTGTTGAATCTGCAAGTGGACATTTGGATAGATTTGAAGATTTCGTTGGAAACGGGAATATCTTCATATCAAATCTAGACAGAAGCATTCTCAGAAACGTCTTTGTGATGTTTGCATTCAACTCATAGAGTTGAACATTCCGTTTCAGAGAGCAGCTTTGAAGCACTCTTTTTGTAGTATGTGCAAGTGGATATTTGGAGCGCTCTGAGGCCTACGGTGAAAAAGCAAATATCTTCCCATAACCACTATACAGAAACATTCTCAGAAACTCCTTTATGACGTATGCACTCACCTAACAGAGAAGAACCTTCCTTTTGACAGAGCAGTTTTGATACACTCTTTTTGTAGAATCTGCAAGTGGATATTTGGATAGCTGTGAAGATTTCTTTGGAAACGGGAATATCTTCCTATAAAATCTAGACAGAAGCATTCTCAGGAACTGCTCTGCCGATGTCTGTATTCAAGTCACAGAGTTGAACATTGCCTTTCATAGAGCAGGTTTGAAACGCTCTTTTTGTAGTATATGGAAGTGGACGTTTCGGACGGTTTGAGGCCCATGGTGATAAAGGGAATATCTTCCCCTACAAGCTAGAAAGAAGCATTCTGTGAAACTTGTTTGTGATGTGTGTACTCAACTAACAGAGTTGAACCTTTCTTTTTACAGAGCAGTTTTGAAACACTCTTTTTGTAGAATCTGCGAGGGGATATTTTGATACATTTCAGCATTTCATTGGAAACGGGAATATCTTCATATAAAATCTCGACAGAAGCATTCTCAGAAACTTATTTGTGATATGTGCATTCAAGTCACAGAGTTGAATATTCCCTTTCACAGAGTAGGTTTGAAACACTCTTTTTGTAGTATCTGGAAGTGGACATTTGGAACGCCTTGACACCTATGGTGAAAAGGGAAATATCTTCCCATAAAAACTAGACAGAAGCAATCTCAGAATCTCCTTTGGGATATATGCACGCAGCTAACAGAGTTGAACCTTTCTATTGACAGAGCAGTTTTGAAACAGTCTTTCTGTGGAATCTGCAAGTGGATATTTGGATAGCTTGGAGGATTTCGTTGGAAACGGGATTACGTATAAAAAGTAGACAGCAGCATCCTCAGAAACTTCTTTGTGATGTGTGCATTCAAGTCACAGTAGTTGAACATTCCCTTTCGTACAGCAGTTTTGAAACACTCTTTCTGTAGTAACTGGAAGTGAACATTAGGACAGCTTTCAGGTCTATGGTGAGAAAGGAAATATCTTCAAATAAAAACTAGACAAAAGCATTCTCATAAACTTGTTTGTGATGTGTGAACTCAGCTAACAGAGGTGGATCTTTCTTTTGATAGAGCAGTTCTGAAAAACACTTTTTGTTGAATCTGCAAGTGGACATTTGGATAGATTTGAAGATTTCGTTGGAAACGGGAATATCTTTATATCAAATCTAGACAGAAGCATTCTCAGAAACGTCTTTGTGATGTTTGCATTCAACTAATAGAGTTGAACATTCCGTTTCAGAGAGCAGCTTTGAGGCACTCTTTTTGTAGTATGTGCAAGTGGATATTTGGAGCGCTCTGAGGCCTACGGTGAAAAAGCAAATATCTTCCCATAACCACTAGACAGAAACATTCTCAGAAACTCCTTTATGACGTATGCACTCACCTAACAGAGAAGAACCTTCCTTTTGACACAGCAGTTTTGATACACTCTTTTTGTAGAATCTGCAAGTGGATATTTGGATAGCTGTGAAGATTTCGTTGGAAACGGGAATATCTTCCTATAAAATCTAGACAGAAGCATTCTCAGAAACTGCTCTGTGATGTCTGCATTCAAGTCACACAGTTGAACATTGCCTTTCATAGAGCAGGTTTGAAACGCTCTTTTTGTAGTATATGGAAGTGGATGTTTCGGACGGTTGGAGGCCCATGGTGATAAAGGGAATATCTTCCCCTACAAGCTAGAAAGAAGCATTCTGTGAAACTTGTTTGTGATGTGTGTACTCAATTAACAGAGTTGAACCTTTCTTTTTACAGAGCAGTTTTGAAACACTCTTTTTGTAGAATCTGTGAGGGGATATTTGGATAGATTTCAGGATTTTGTTGGAAACGGGAATATCTTCATATAAAATCTCGACAGAAGCAATCTCAGAATCTTCTTTGGGATGTATGCACGCAGCTAACAGAGTTGAACCTTTCTATTGACAGAGCAGTTTTGAAAGAGTCTTTCTGTGGAATCTGCAAGTGGATATTTGGATAGCTTGGAGGATTTCGTTGGAAACGGGATTACGTATAATAAGTAGACAGCAGCATCCTCAGAAACTTCTTTGTGATGTGTGCATTCAAGTCACAGAGTTGAACATTCCCTTTCGTACAGCAGTTTTGAAACACTCTTTCTGTAGTATCTGGAAGTGAACATTAGGACAGCTTTCAGGTTTATGGTGAGAAAGGAAATATCTTCAAATAAAAACTAGACAGAAGCATTCTCATAAACTTGTTTGTGATGTGTGAACTCAGCTAACAGACGTGGATCTTTCTTTTGATAGAGCAGTTCTGAAAAACACTTTTTGTTGAATCTGCAAGTGGACATTTGGATAGATTTGAAGATTTCGTTGGAAACGGGAATATCTTCATATCAAATCTAGACAGAAGCATTCTCAGAAACGTCTTTGTGATGTTTGCATTCAACTCATAGAGTTGAACATTCCCTTTCAGAGAGCAGCTTTGAAGCACTCTTTTTGTAGTCTGTGCAAGTGGATATTTGGAGCGCTCTGAGGCCTACGGTGAAAAAGCAAATATCTTCCCATAACCACTAGACAGAAACATTCTCAGAAACTCCTTTATGACGTATGCACTTACCTAACAGAGAAGAACCTTCCTTTTGACAGAGCAGTTTTGATACACTCTTTTTGTAGAATCTGCAAGTGGATATTTGGATAGCTGTGAAGATTTCGTTGGAAACGGGAATATCTTCCTATAAAATCTAGACAGAAGCATTCTCAGAAACTGCTCTGTGATGTCTGCATTCAAGTCACAGAGTTGAACATTGCCTTTCATAGAGCAGGTTTCAAACACTGTTTTTTTAGTATGTGGAAGTGGACGTTTCGGACGGTTTGAGAACCATGGTGATAAAGGAAATATCTTCCCCTACAAGCTAGAAAGAAGCATTCTGTGAAACTTGTTTGTGATGTGTGTAGTCAACTAACAGAGTTGAACCTTTCTTTTTACAGAGCAGTTTTGAAACACTCTTTTTGTAGAATCTGCGAGGGGATATTTGGATAGATTTCAGGATTTCGTTGGAAACGGGAATATCTTCATATAAAATCTCGACAGAAGCATTCTCAGAAACTTCTTTGTGATATGTGCATTCAAGTCACAGAGTTGAATATTCCCTTTCACAGAGTAGGTTTGAAACACTCTTTTTGTAGTATCTGGAAGTGGACATTTGGCGCGCCTTGACACCTACGGTGAAAAGGGAAATATCTTCCCATAAAAACTAGACAGAAGCAATCTCAGAATCTTCTTTGGGATATATGCACGCAGTTATCAGAGTTGAACCTTTCTATTGACAGAGCAGTTTTGAAACAGTCTTTCTGTGGAATCTGCAAGTGGATATTTGGATAGCTTGGAGGATTTCGTTGGAAACGGGATTACGTATAAAAAGTAGACAGCAGCATCCTCAGAAACTTCTTTGTGATGTGTGCATTCAAGTCACAGCAGTTGAACATTCCCTTTCATACAGCAGTTTTGAAACACTCTTTCTGTAGTAACTGGAAGTGAACATTAGGACAGCTTTCAGGTCTATGGTGAGAAAGGAAATATCTTCAAATAAAAACTAGACAGAAGCATTCTCATAAACTTGTTTGTGATGTGTGAACTCGGCTAACACAGGTGGATCTTTCTTTTGATTGAGCAGTTCTGAAAAACACTTTTTGTTGAATCTGCAAGTGGACATTTGGATAGATTTGAAGATTTCGTTGGAAACGGGAATATCTTCATATCAAATCTAGAGAGAAGCATTCTCAGAAACGTCTTTGTGATGTTTGCATTCAACTCATAGAGTTGAACATTCCCTTTCAGAGATCAGCTTTGAAGCACTCTTTTTGTAGCATGTGCAAGTGGACATTTGGAGCGCCCTGAGGCCTACGGGGAAAAAGCAAATATCTTCCCATAACCACTAGACAGAAACATTCTCAGAAACTCCTTTATGACGTATGTACTCAACTAACAGAGAAGAACCTTCCTTTTGACAGAGCATTTTTGATACACTCTTTTTGTAGAATCTGCAAGTGGATATTTGGATAGCTGTGAAGATTTCATTGGAAACGGGAATATCTTCCTATAAAATCTAGACAGAAGTATTCTCAGAAACTGCTCTGTGATGTCTGCATTCAAGTCACAGAGTTGAACATTGCCTTTCATAGAGCAGGTTTGAAACCCTCTTTTTGTAGTATATGGAAGTGGACGTTTCGGACGGTTTGAGGCCCATGGTGATAAAGGGAATATCTTCCCCTACCA